>NT_167211.2:1743-176608 GCF_000001405.40 Homo sapiens
ATTTCATTCCATTCCATTCCATTCCATTCCATGTCATTCCATTCCATTCCATTCCACTCGACTTGATTCCATTCCATTCCATTCCATTCCATTCCATTCCATTCCATTCCATGTCATTCCATTCCATTCGACTCATTCCATTCCATTCCATTCCATTCCATTCCATTCCCTTCCATTCCATTCCATTCCATTCCAATTCATTCCATTCCATTCAATGTCATTCCATTCCATTCCATTCCACTCGGGTTGATTCCATTCCATTCCATTCCATTCCATTCCATTCCATTCCATTCCATTCGGGTTGATTCCATTCCATTCGATTCCATTCCATTCCATTCCATTCCACTAAATTCCACCCGGGTTATTTCCATTCCTTTCCATTCCTGTCCATTCCATTCCCTTCCCTTCCATTCCATTCCATTCCCTTCCATTCCATTCCATTTCTATCGGGTTGCTTCTATTCCATTCCATTCCATTCCATTCCATTTCCTTCCTTTCCATTCCACTCGGTTTGATTCCTGTCCATTCCATTCGATTCCATTCCCCTCGGGTTGATTCCATTCCGTTCCATTCCATTCCAGTCCATTCCACTCATGTTGCTTCAATTCCATTCTACTCCAATCCGTGCCATTAAATTAAAATCCATTCCATTCCATTCGGATTGATTCAATTCCTTTCTGTTCCATTCAATTCCATTATATTCCTTCACATGACATTCCACTCGGGTTCATTCCATTCCTATCTATTCCATTCAAATCCATTCCATTCCATTCCATTCCACTTGGGTTGATTCCATTCCATTCCATTCCACTCCATTCCATTCCATTCAATTCCATTCCATTCCACTCATGTTGATAAATGCCATTCTATTCCTTTCCATTACATTGCATTCCATTCCATTCAATTCCATTCCCTTCCACTCCGTTCCACTCGCGTTGTTTCAATTCCATTCTATTCCATTCCAATCCATTCCTTTCCGTTCCATTACATTCCACTCTGGTTGATTCAATCCCATTCTATTCCATTCCATTCCATTCCATTCCATCCCGTTGCATTCCACTCGGATTTATTCAATAAATTTCTGTTCCATTCCACTCCATTCCATTCCATTCCATTCCATTCAATTACACACGGGTTGATTCAATTCCATTCTGTTGAATTCCATTTCATTCCATTCCATTTCATTCCATTCCATTCCATTCCATTCCACTCGGGTTGATTGAATTCCATTCCATTCCATTCCATTCCAATCCACTCCACTCGGGTTGATTCAAATCCGTTCTATGGCATTTCACTCCTTTCCATACCATTCCATTCCACTCGAGTGGATTCCATTCCATTCTATTGCATTCCACACTCAATTCCTTTCCATTCCACTCGAGTTGATTCCATTCCATTCTATTGTATTCCTAACATTCCATTCCATTCTATTCCATTGCATTCCATTCCATTCCACTCTGGTTGATTCCATTCCATTCTATTCCATCCCACTCTATTCCATTCCATTCCATTCCATTCCATTCCTTCCCTTTCCATTCCACTGGGGTTGATTCCATTCCATTAAATTCCATTCCATTCCATTGCACTCTGGTTGATTCCATTCCATTCTGTTCCATTCCAATCCATTCAATTCCTTTCCATTCCATTCCTTTCCAATCCATTCCATTCGGTTCCACTCGGTTTGATTTAATTCCATTATATTCCATTCCATTCCATTCCATTCCATTCCACTCAGGCTGATTCAATTCCATTCCTTTCCATTCCATTCCATTCAACTCCATTCTATTCCAATCCATACCATTCCATTCTATTCCACTAAACTTGGGTTAATTCAATTCCATTCTACTCCTTTCCATTCGATTCCATTCCATTGCATTCCATTCCACTCCACTCGGTTTGATTCCATACCGTCCCATTCCATTGCATTCCAATCCACTTGGGTTGATTTCATTCCATTCCATTCCATTCCATTCCATTCCATTCCATTCCATTCTATTCCATTCCATTCCATTCCACTCGTGTTGCTTCTATTCCAGTCCATTCCATTCCATTCCTTTCCATTCCATTCCATTACTTTCCACTCGGGTTGATTCAATTCCATTCCATTGCATTCCATTGCATTCCACTCGGCTTGATTCTATTCCATTTCGTTTCATTCCATTCCATTCCATTCCATTCCTTTCCACTCGGGTTGATAAATTCCATTCTATTCCAGTCCATTACATTCCATTCCGTTACATTCACTTTCATTCGCTCCCATTCCTTTCCACTTGGGTTCTTTCCATTTCATTCTATTCCATTCCATTCCATTCCATTCCATTCCATTACACTCGGGTTGATTCAAATCCATTTTTTTGCTTTCCATTCCATTTCATTTAATTCCAATCAACTCGGGTTTATTCAATTCCATTCTATTCTATTTGATTCAATTCTATTCCATTCCATTCCGTTCCATTCCATCCCAATACATTCCATTCGGTTTGATTCAATAAATTTCTATTGCATTCCACCCCTCTCCATTCCATTCCATTCCATTCCATTCCACATGGTTTGATTCAATTCCATTCTATTGAATTCCATTGCATTCCATTCCATTTCATTCTATTACACTCCATTCCATTCCTTTCCATTCCATTCCAATCTATTCCATTCCACTCGTGTCGATTCAATTCCATTCCATCCTATTCCTTCCATTCCATTCCATTCCATTCCATTCCATTCCATTCCATTCCACTCAGGCTGATTCAATTCCATTCCTTTCCATTGCATTCCATTCCAATCCATTCTATTCCAACCCATTCCATTCCATTGTATTCCACTAAACTTGGGTTAATTCAATTCCATTATATTCCATTCCATTCGATTCCCTTCCATTGCATTCCATTCCTCTCCACTCGGCGTGATTCCATTCCGTTCCATTCCATTACATTCCTTTCCACTCGTGTTGATTTCATTCCATTCCATTCCATTCTATTCCATTCCATTCCATTCAGCTCGTGTTGCTTCTATTACATTCCATTCCATTCCATCCCTTACCATTCCATTCCATTACATTCCACTCGGGTTAATTCAATTTCATTCCATAGCATTCCATTCCATTCTATTCGGGTTGATTCTATTCCATTTCGTTTCATTCCATTCCATTCCATTCCATTCCATTCCACTCGGGTTGATAAATTCCATTCTATTCCAGTCCATTACATTCCATTCCGTTCCATTCAATTCCATTAGCTTCCATTCCTTTCCATTTGGGTTGTTTCCATTCCATTCTATTCCATTCCATTCTAATCCATTCCATTCCATTCCACTCGGGTTGATTCAAATCCATTTTTTTCTTTCCATTCCATATCACTTTATGCCAATCAACTCGGTTTTATTCAATTCCATTCTTTTCTGTTTGATTCCATTCGACTCCATTCCGTTCCATACCCTTCCATTCCATTCCATTCCACTCGGGTTGATTCCATTCCATTCCATTCCATTCCATTCCATTCCATTCTCTTCATTGCATTCAATTGCATTCCATTCCGTTCCATTTCATTCCATTCCAATCCATTCAATTCCATTCCATTCCACACGGGTTGATTCAATTCCATTCTATTCCATTTTATTCCATTCCATTTCATTCCACTCAGGTTGATTCAATTCCATTCTATTCCATTCCTATCCATTCAATTACATTCCATTCCCTTCCATTCCATTCCTTTTATTTCCCTGACATTCCATTCCATTCCATTCCACTCCACTCAATGCTGTTCTATTCCATTCCATTCCATTCCATTCCATTCCATTCCATTCCATTCCATTCCATTCCTTTTCATTTTATAACACTCGGTTTGATTCAATTCCATTCTATTCCTTTCCATTCCATTCTATTCTGTACCCATCAATTCCATTCCATTCCTTTCCACTCGGGTTGATTCAATTCCATTCTATTCCATTCCATTCCATTCCATTGCACTGTGGTTGATTCAATTTCATTCTATTACATTCCATTCCATTCCGTTCCATTCCATTCCATTCCATTCGGCTTGATTCAATTCCATTATATTCCATTCCATTCCATTCCACTCGGGTTGATTCCATTCCATTCCATTCCATTCCATTCCATTCCATTCCACTCCACTCGTGTTGATTCAATTCCATTCCATTCCATTTCATTCCATTCCATTCCATTCCGTTCCATTCCGTTCCATTCCATTCCACTCATGTTGCTTCAATTCCATTCTACTCCATTCCATTCCATTCAATTCCAATCCATTCCATTCCATTCGGGTTGATTCAATTCATTTCTATTCCATTAAATTCCATTGCATTCCATTCCATTACATTCCACTCGAGTTCATTCCATTCCATTCTATTCCATTCAAATCCATTCCATTCCATTACACTCGAGTTGATTCCATTCCATTCCATTCCATTCCATTCCATTCCATTCCATTCCATTCGCTTCTATTCCATTCCACTCGGGTTGATAAATTCCATTCTATTCCATTCCATTACATTCCATTCCGTTACATTGAATTCCATTCCCTTTCATTCCATTCCACTCGGGTTGTTTCAATTCCATCCTATTCCATTCCATTCCATTCCATTCCATTCTATTCCACTCCTGTTGATTCAATTAAATTCTATTCCATTCCATTCCATTCCATTCCATTCCATTCCAATCCATTAGATTCCATTCCAATCCATTTGATTCCATTCCATTCCATTCCACTCCACTCCACTTGGGTTGATTCAATTCCATTCTATTCCATTCCATTCCATTCCATTGCATCCCATTCCACTCCACTCGTTTTGATTCCATTAAATTGCATTCCATTCCATTACTTTCCATTCCATTCCATTCCATTCCAATACTTTCCTTTCCATTCCACTCCATTCCGTTCCGTTCCATTCCATTGCATTCCATTCCATTCCGTTCCACTCAGGTTGATGCAATTCCATACTACTCTATTCCATTCCATTCCATTCCATTCCATTCCATTCCATTCCATTACATTACATTCCACTCGGGTTGATTCAATTCCATTCTGTCCCATTCCATTTCATTCCATTCCATTCCATACCATTCCATTCCACTCCGGTTGATTCATTTCCATTCTATGTCATTCCATTCCATTTCATTCCATTCCATTCCATTCCACTCGGGTTGACTCAATTCCATTCTATTGCATTCCTTTCCATTCCATTCCTATCCATTCCATTCTGTTCCATTCCATTCCATTCCATTCCATTCCACTCCATTCCTTTCCATTACATTCCTCTCCATTCCATTCCATTACATTCCATTCTACTTGGTTTGATTCAATTCCATTCTATTCAATTCCCTTCCATTCCATTCTATTCTATTCATTTCCATTCCATTCCATTCTACTAGGTTTGATTCAAATCCATTCTATCACATTCCATTCCATTCCATTCCATTCCATTCCATTCCATTCCACTCCACTCTGAATCAATTCCACTCTACTCCACACCACTCCATTCCATTCCATTGCATTCCATTCCATTCCATTTCATTCGATTCCATTCGAATTGGTTTGATTCAATTCCATTCTATTCATTTCCATTCCATTCCAATCTATTCCATTCAATTCCAGTCCATTCCATTCTGTTCGGGTTGATTAAATTCAATTCTATTCCATTCCATTCCATTCCATTCCATTCCACTACACTCTTGTTGAATAAATTCCATTCTATTCCATTCCATTTGATGCCATTCCATTCATTTCCATTCCATTCAATTCCATTCCATTCCATTCCACACTGTGTGATTCAATTCCTTTCTATTCCATTTTATTCCATTCCATTCAACTCCTTTCCATTCCATTCCATTCCATTCCATTCCACTCCATTCCATTCCATTCCATTCGACTCGGGTTGATTCAATTCCATTCTATTCCATTCCATTCCATTCCTTCCTTTCCATTCCATTCCACTCTGGTTGAAAATTCCATTCTATTCCGTTCCATTACATTCCATTCCGTTCCATTCAATTCAATTCCCTTACATTCCGTTCCACTCCGATTGTTTCAATTCCATATCATTCCATTCCATTCTATTCCATTCCATTCCATTCCGTTCTTTTCCAGTCGCGTTGATTCAATAACTTTCTATTCCATTCCACTCCATTCCATAACATTACATTCCTTTCCACTCCATTCCATTCCACAAGTGTTGATTCAATTCCATTCTATTGAATTCTATTCCATTCCATTCCATTCTATTCCATTCCATTACATTCCATTCCATTGTATTACACTCCATTCCATTCCTTTCCATTCTATTCCATTGTACGACTTTCCACTCGGCTGTATTCAATTACATTCCATTCTATTCCTTCCATTCCATTCTATTCCATTCCATTTCATTCCACTCGGGTTGATTTCATTACATTCCATTCCTTTCCATTCTATTCCATTCCTTTCCATTCCCCTCGGATTGATTCCATTCCATTCCATTGCATTCCATTCCTTTCCATTCCATTCCACACGGGTTTATTCAATTCCATTCTATTCCATTCCATTCGAATCCATTCCAATCCTTTCAATTCCAATCATGTCTATTCAATTCCTTTCCATTCCATTCCATTTCATTCCATTTGGGTTGATTCAATTTCTTTCTATTCCATTCCATTCCATTCCTTTCCACTCGCGTTGATTCCATTGAATTCTATTCCATTCCATTCCATTCCACTCGGGTTGATTCAATTCCATTCCATTCCATTCCATTTCATTCCATTCCACTCCGGTTTACTCAATTCCATTCTATGCCATTCCATTCCATTTCATTCCATTCCATTCCATTTCACTCGGGTTGAGTCAGTTCCATTCTATTGCATTCCTTTCCATTCCATTCCTATCCATTCCATTCCGTTCCATTCCATTCCATTCCGTTCCATTCCATTGCATTCCATTCCATTCCTTTCCATTCCTTTCCACTCCACTCCATTCCATTCCATTCCATTCCATTCCATTCTACTCAGTTTGATTCAATTCCATTCTATTCAATTCCCTTCCACTCCATTGTATTCCATTCATTTCCATTCCATTCCATTCCACTAGGGTTGATTCAAATCCATTCTATCACATTCCATTCCATTCCATTCCATTCCGTTCCATTCCACTCCTCTCTGTGTGATTCAATTCCACTCTATTCCACTCCACTCCATTCCATTCCATTCCATTCCATTCCATTCCATTCCATTCCATTCCACTCCATTCCTTTCCATTCCGTTTCTTTCTATTCCATTCCACTTGGTTTGATTCAATTCCATTATATTCAATTCCATTCCATTCCAATTTATTCCATTCAATTCCGGTCCATTCCATTCCCCTCGGGTTGTTTAAATTCCATTCAATTCCATTGAATTCCATTCCATTCCTTTCCATTCCATTCCACTCCACTCTGGTTGAATCAATTCCATTCTATTACATTCCATTCGATGCCATTCCATTCCTTTCTATTCCATTCTGTTCCATTCCATTGCTTTCCACAAGGGGTGATTCAATTCCATTCTATTCCATCTTATTCCATTCCATTCCATTCCATTCCACTCCATTCCATTCCATTTGATTCCACTCGGGTTGATTCCATTCTATTCTATTCCATTCCATTCCATTCCATTCCTTTCCATTCCATTCCACTCGGGTTGTTTCCATTCCATTCCATTCTATTCCATTCCATTCCATTCCAATCTGGTTGATACATTACATTCTACTCCGTTCCATTCCAGTCCATTCCGTTCCATTCAATTCCATTCCCTTCCATTCCGTTCCACTCCAGTTGTTTCAATTCCATATTATTCCACTCCATTCCATTCCATTCCATTCCGTTCCATTCCTTTCCACTCGGGTTGATTCAATAACTTTCTATTCCAATCCACTCCATTCCATAACATTTCATTCCTTTCCACTCCATTCCATTCCACACGGGTTGATTCAATTCCATTCTATTGAATACCATTCCATTCCATTCCATTCAATTATATTACACTCCTTTCCATTCCTTTCAATTCTGTTCCATTCTATACCTTTCCACTCGGCTGTATTCAATTCCATTCTATTCTGTTCCTTCCATTCCATTCCATTCCATTCCATTCCACTTGGTTTGAATTCATTCCCTTCCATTCCGTTCCATTCTATTCCATTCCAATCCTTTCCCCTTGGGTTAATTCCATTCCATTCTTTCCATTCCATTCCATTCCTTTCCATTCCACTTGGGTTTATTCAATTCCATTCTAATCTATTCCATTCGATTCCATTCCAATCCTTTCCAGTCCACTCAGGTTCATTCAATTCCTTCCCATTCCATTCCATTCCATTCCAATCCATTCCATTCCATTCGGGTTGATTCAGTTCCATTCTATTCTATTCCATGGCATTCCATTCCATTCCATTCCATTCCATTCCATTCAGTTCCACTCGGGTTGATTCTATTCCAATCTATTCCATTCCATTCCATACCATTCCATTCCACTTGGGTTGATTGTATTCCATTCTATTCCATTCCATTGTATTCCATTCCATTCAATTCCATTCCACTCGTGTTGATTCAATTATAATCTATTCCATTGTATTCCTTTCCATTCCATTCCATTCCATTCCACTCGGGTGAATTCCATTCCATTCCATTCCATTCCATTCCATTCCATTCAATTCCATTCCACTCGTGTTGATTCAATTACAATCTATTCCTTTGCATTCCTTTACATTCCATTCCATTCCATTCCATTCCACTCTATTCCACACAACTCCACTCGGGTTGATTCAAATCCTTTCTACAGCATTTCACTCCATTCCATACCATTCCATTCCATCGAGTGGATTCCATTCCTTTTTATTACTTTCCATTCAATTCCATTCCCTTCCACTCGAGGTGATTGAATTCCATTCTATTGAATTCCTACCATTCCATTCCATTCTATTCCATTCCACTCCATTCCATTCCCTTCCACTCCATTCAATTCCATTCTATTCCATTCCAATCCAATCCTTTGAATTACATTCCATTGCATTCCATTCCATTCCATTCCATTCCATTGCATTCCCTTCCATACCATTCCATTCCATTCCATTCCATTCCATTCCATTCCATTCCATTCTCTTTCATTCTATTCCATTCCATTCCTTTCCATTCCCTTTCTTTCCATTCCATTCCACTAGCGTTGATTGAATTCCATTGCATTCCATTCCATTCCATTCCTTTCCATTCCATTCCATTCCACTCAGGTTGATTCAATTCCATTATTTTCCATTCCATTCTATTCCATTCCATTCCATTGTATTCCTCTCTAGTTGATTCAATTGCATTCTGTTCCATTCCATTCCATTCCATTCCATTCCATTGCATTCCAATCTGGTTGATTCAACTGCATTGTATTACATTCCACTCCAATCCATTCCATTCCATTCCATTCCATTCCATTCCATTCCATTCCACTCCATTCCATTCCATTCCATTCCATTCCTTTCCACTCCACTCCATTCCATTCCATTCCATATCTCTCGGGTTGTTTCCATTCCATTTCATTCCATTCCATTCCATTCCATTCCATTCCATTCCATTCCTTTCCCCTAGGGTTGATTCCTTTCCATTCCATTCTATTCCATTCCATTCCATTCCATTCCATTCCGTTTGGATGGATTCCTTTCCGTTCCATTGCATTCCATTCCATTCCATTCCATTTGTGTTGATTGCATTCCATTCCATACCATTCCTTTCCATTCCACTCGGGTTGATTCCATTCCATTCCATTCCATTCCATTCCATTCCAATTTGGTTGATTACATTCCATTCCATTCCTTTCCTTTCCATTCCCTAAAGGTTGATTCCATTCCATTCCATTGCATTCCATTCCATTCCTTTCCGATCCATTCCATTCCAGTCGTTTCCATTCCATTCCATTGCTTTCCATTCCATTCCATTCCATTCCATTCCATTCCATTCCACTCTGGTTGATTCCATTCCATTCCATTCCATTCTTTTGAATTCCATTCCATTCCATTGCACTGCGTTTCATTCCATTCCATTCCATTCAATTCCATTCCATTCCATTCCACTCTTGTTGATTCCATTCCATTCCATTCCATTCCACTCGGGTTGATTCGATTCCATTGTTTATTCCATTCCATTCCATTCCATGGCATTCAACTCGGATTCATACCATTCCATTCAATTTTATTCCTTTGCATTCCTTTCCATTCCATTCAACTAGTGCTGATTCTAATCCATTCCATTCCATTCCATTCCATTGAATTCCATTCCATTCCACTCGGGTTGAATCCATTCCATTTCATTCCATTCCTTCCTACTTGGGTAGGCTCCATTCCATTCCATTATATTCCAATCTATTCCACCCCATTCCATTCCAATCTTGTTGATTCCATTCCATTCCATTCCATTCCCTTCCATTCCATTCCATTCCACTCGGTTGGACTCCATTCCATTCCATTTTATTCCATTCCACTCCATTCAATTCCATTCCATTCCATTCCACTCAGATTGATTGCATTCCATTCCATTTTCTACCTTTCTATTCCATTGCATTCCATTCCGCTTGTGTTAATTCAATACCAATCCATTCCATTCCATTCCATTCCATTCCATTGCATTGCATTCCATTCCATTCCATTCCTTTCCATTCCACTCGGATTGATTCCATTCCATTCCATTCCATTCGGTTCCCTTCCATTCCATTCTATTCCATTCGATTCCACTCCATTTCATTCCATTCCATTTGAGTTGATCATTCCTTTCCAATCCATTCCATTCCATTGCATTCCATTCTATTCCAATCCACCTCGCTTGATTCCATTCCATTCCATTCCATTCCTTTCCATTGATTCCACTCTGTTTGATTCCATTCCATTCCACTCCATTCCTTTCCTTCCCATTCCTTCCATTCCATTCAATTTCATTCTATTCCATTCCACTCGTGTTGATTCCATTCCATTCCATTCCATTTCATTCCATTCCATTCTATTTCACTCCTGTTGATTCCATTCCATTCATTTCCATTACATTCCATTCCATTCAATTCCATTCCATTCTACTCGGGTTTATTTCCATTCCATTTCATTGCATTCCATTCCATTCCATTCCATTCCATTCCATTCCATTCCATTCCATTGCATTCCATTCCATTGCATTCCATTGCATTCCATTCCACTCGGGTTGATGCCATTCCATTCCATTCCTTTGCATTCCATTCCATTCCATTCCACTCGTGTTGTTTCCTTTCCATTCCATTCCAATCCAATCAGGTTGATTCCATTCCATTCCTTTCCATTCCATTCCATTCCATTCGGTTTGATTCCATTCCATTCCACTTCTTTCTATTGCATTCCATTCCCTTCCATTCCATTTGCATTGATTCCATTCCATAATATTCCACTCCATTCTATTCCATACCATTCCATTCAATTTCATTCGATTCCATTCCATTCCATTCCACTCTGACTTATTCCACACCATTCCTTTCCATTCCATTCCATTCCACTCGGGTTGATTCCATTCCATTCGATTCCATTCAATTCCATTCCATTTCATTCCATTACATTCCAATCCATTCCTTACCATTCCATTCCACTCGGGTTGATTCCATTACATTTCATTTCCCCCCATTCCATTCCATTCCGTTCCATTCCATTTCATTCGATTGCATTCAATTCAACTCTGGTTCATTCAATTCCATTTCACTCCATTCCATTCCATTCTTTTTCATTCCATTCCTTTCCATTCGTTTCAACTCCATTCTCTTCCATTCCACTAGGGTTATGCCATTCCTTTCCATTGCATTCCATACCATTCCATTCCATTCCTTTCCAGTTGATTCCATTCCATTCCATTCCATTCCATTCCATTCCATTCCATTCCATTCCATTCCATTCCACTAGGGTTGATTCCATTCCGTTTCGTTCCATTCTATTCCATTCCATTCCTTTGCATTCAATTGCATTCTATTCAATTCCCCTCTGGTTGGTGCAATTACATTCGATTCCATTCCATTCCATTCCATTCCTTTTCATGCCATTGCATTCCATACCATTACAGTTGATTCCACTCCAATGCATTCCATTGCTTTCCATTCCATTCCATTCCATTCCATTCCATTCCATTCCATTCCGTTCCATTCCATTCCATTCCACTCGGGTTGCTTCCATTCCCTTAGTTTCCATTCCATTCCGTTCCATTCCATTCCATTCCATTCGACTCGTGTTTATTCCACTACATTCCATTCCATTCCACTCCATTCCATTCCATTCCTTTCAATTTGACTCGTGTTGCATCGATTCCATTCCATTCCATTCCATTCCATTCCATTCCATTCCATTCCATTCCACTCGGGTTTATTGCTTTACATTCCTTTCCTTTCCATTCCATTCAACTCAGGTTGATTCCATACCTTTGCATTCCATTCCATTCCATTCCACTCAGATTGATTTCATTTCATTTCTTTTTATTCCATTTCATTTCATTCCATTCCATCCCTTTCTCTTCCATTCCTTTGCACTTGTGTTGATTCCATTCCATTCCATTTTATTCCATTTCTTTCTATTCCTTTCCATTCCACTCGGGTTCATTCTATACCATTCCATTGCACTCTATTCCATTCCATTGCATTCCATTCAAATCCCCTCATGTTGATTCCATTCCATTCCATTCCATTCCATTCCATTCCATTCAAATCCCCTCATGTTGATTCCATTCCATTCCATTCCATTCCATTCCATTCCATTCCATTCCATTCCACTACGGTTGATTCCATTCCATTGCATTACTTTCCATTACATTCCAATCCATTCCTTTATATTCCACTCGCCTTAACTCTATTCCATTCCATTCCATTCCGTTCAATTGCATTCCATTCCATTCACCTCAGGTTGATTCAATTACATTTTATTCCATTCCATACCACTCCATTCCTTTTCATGCCATTCTATTCCATAACATTCTAGTTGATTCCAATCCAATGAATTCCATTCTTTTCCATTCCATTCCATTCAATTCCATTCCATTGCATTCCATTCCATTCCATTCCATTCCACTCCGGTTGATTCCATTCCTTTCCTTTCCATTCCGTTCCATTCCATTCCATTCGACTCTTGTTGATTCCATTCCATTCCATTCCATTCCATTCCATTCCATTCCATTCCACTCCACTCCATTCCATTCCATTCCATTCCATTCCATTTGACTCGTGTTGCATCCATACCATTCCACTCCATTCCATTCCATTCCATTCCATTCCATTCCATTAAACTCGTGTGGTTTCCATTCCATTCCATTCCATTCCATTCCATTCCATTCCACTCGGATTGATTTCATTCCATTCCTTTTTATTCCATTCCATTCCATTCCTTTCGATTCCATCCCATTCCATTCCATTCCATTCAACTTGGGTTGATACCATTCCATTCCATTTTATTCCATTCCATTCCATTCCTTTCGATTCCATCCCATTCCATTCCATTCCATTCAACTTGGGTTGATACCATTCCATTCCATTTTATTCCATTCCATTTTATTCCAGTCCACTCGGGTTTATTCTATACCATTCCATTCCATTCCATTCAATTGCTTTCCTTTCCAATCCCCTCGTGTTGATTCCACTCCATTCCATTCCATTCCTTTCCACTAGTGTTGTTTCCATTCCATTCCATTACATTCCAATGTATTCCATTGCGTTCCATACCACTCAGGTTGACTCCATTCGATTGCATTCCATTTCATTCTTTTCCTTTCCCTTCCACTCGGGTTGATAACATTCCATTCCATTCCTTTCCACTCGGGTTGATTCCATTCTATTCCTTTCCTTTCCATTCCATTCCACTCCATTCCATTCGGGTTTATTCCATTCCGTTCCATTCCACTCGGGTTGATTCCATTCCATTCCATTCAATTCCATTCCATTCGATTCCATTCGACTCGGGTTGATTTCATTGCATTCCATTCCATTCCATTCCATTCCATTCCATTGCATTCCATTCCATTCCATTCCATTCCATTCCATTCCATTCCATTAGGGTTGATTCCCTTCCATTCCATTTTATTCCATTCCATTCCATTGCATTCAAATCCATTCCACATGGGTTGATTCCATTCAATTCCATTCCTCTTGGGTTTATTCCATTCCATTCCATTCCATTCCATTCCATTCCACTCTGTTTGATTCCATTCAATTCCATTCCACTCTTGTTGATTCCATTCCATTCCATTCCATTTCATTCCATTCTATTCCGTTGCACTCTTGTTGATTCCATTGCATTCATTTCCATTCCATTCCATTCCATTCACTTCCATTCCATTCGACTCTGGTTGATTCCATTCAATTCCATTTTATTACATTCCATGTCATTCCATTCCATTCTATTCCATTCCATTCCATTCCATTCCATTCCATTCCAATCCATTCCATTCCATTCCATTCCATTCCATTCCATTCCATTCCATTCCATTCCACTCGGGTTGATTCCATTCCATGCCATTTTATTCCATTCCTTTCCATTCCGTTCAATTAGTGCTGATTCTATTCCACTGCATTCCATTCTATTCCATTGCATTCCAGTCGGGTTGTTTCCATTCCATTCCATTTCATTCCATTCTACTCGGTTTGGTTTCATTCAATTCCATTACACTCCAATCTAATCCATTTCATTCCATTCCACTCGGGTTGATTCCATTCCATTCCATTAAATTCAATTTCATTCCATTCCACTTCATTGCATTCCAATACACTCTGGTTGATTCCATTGCATTGCATTCCATTCCATTCCAGTCGGGTTCATTCCATTCAATTCCATTCCATTCCATTCCATTCCATACCATTCCACACGGGTTGATTCCATTCCAAGCCATTCCATCCCATTCCACTCGCGTTGATTCCATTCAATTCCATTCCATTCCATACAACTCCACTCCATTCCATTCCACACGTGTTGATTCCATTCCATTCCATTCCATTCCATTCCATTCCACTCGGATTTACTGCATTCCATTCCATTCCATTCCATTCCATTCCTTTCCAGTTGATTCCGTTCCATTCCATTCCATTCCATTTCATTTCTTTCCATTCCACTCGGGTTGATTCCATTCCATTCCATTCCATTCCATTCCATTCCAGTTAATTCTATTCCCTTCCTTTCCATTCCATTCAATTCCTTTCCATTCGACTCGGGTTGATTCCAATCCATTCCATTCTATGCCATTCCATCCCATTCCACTACATTGCATTCCATTCCACTCAGGTTGATTCAATTGCTTTCTATTACGTTCAATCCCATGCCATTCCATTCCATTCATTTCCATTCCATTAAATTCCATTCGATTCCATTCCATTCCAGTTGATTCCATTCCATTCCATTCCTTTCCATTCCGTTCCATTCCAATCTATTCCACTCGTGTTGATTCAATTCCATTCTATTCCATTGAATTCCATTCCATACCTTTCCCTTCCATTCCACTCATGTTGACTCAATTCCATTCTATTCCATTCCATTCCTTTCCATTCCATTCCATTCCAATCGGTTTGATTCCATTCCATTCCATTCGATTTCATTCCATTCCATTCCATTCCATTCCTTTCCACTCCACTCGTGCTTATTCAATTCAGTTTTATTCCGTTCCATTGCATTCTATTCCATTCCATTCCTTTACAATCCATTCAATTCCATTCTAGACCAATCCATTCCATTCCAATCGTGTTGACTCCTTTACATTCCATACCATTCTATTCCATTCCATTCTATTCCATTCCATTCCATTCCTCTCAGGTTGATTGAATTCCAGTGAATTCCATTCGATTCCATTCCATTCCATTTCATTCCACTCAGGTTGATTCAATTCCTTTCTAATCCATTCTATTCCATTCCTTTCAATTCCTTTCCTTTCCATTCCATTCAATTCAATTCCAATTCATTCCATTCCATTCCATTCCATTCCATTCCATTCCATTCATTCCACGCAGGTTGACTCAATTACATTCCGTTCCATTCCATTCCATTTCATTCCTTTCAACTAGGTTTGATTCCATTCCATTCCAATTCCATTACATTCCATTCCATTGCATTCCAGTTGAATCCATTCCATTCCATTCCATTCCATTCAACTCCATTGCATTCTTTCCATTTCTTTACATTCCATTCCATTCCATTCCAGTTCATTCAATTCCATTCTATTCCTTCCCATTCCACTCCATTCCATTCCATTCCATTCCATACCATTCCATTCCATTCCATTCCTTTCCATTCCAGTTGATTCCATTCCATTCCCTTCCCTTCCACTCGGGTTGATTCAATTCCGTTCTATTCCATTCCATTCCATTCCATTCCATTCCATTCCATTCTATTCCATTCCACTCATGTTGATTCAATTCCATTCTATTCCATTCCATTTCATTCCATTTTATTCCATTCCATTCCAGTCGTGTTGATTCCTTTCCATTCCACTCCATTCCATTGCATTCCTTTCCAGTACATTCCATTCCATTCCAGTTGATTCGATTCCATTCCTTTCCATTCCATTCCATTCCATTCCATTCCAGTTGATTCCATTCCATTCCATTCCAGTTAATTCTATTCCCTTCCTTTCCATTCCATTCAATTCCTTTCCATTCGACTCGGGTTGATTCCAATCCATTCCATTCTATGCCATTCCATCCCATTCCACTCCATTGCATTCCATTCCACTCAGGTTGATTCAATTGCTTTCTATTACGTTCAATCCCATGCCATTCCATTCCATTCATTTCCATTCCATTAATTTCCATTCGATTCCATTCCATTCCAGTTGATTCCATTCCATTCCATTCCTTTCCATTCCGTTCCATTCCAATCTATTCCACTCGTGTTGATTCAATTCCATTCTATTCCATTGAATTCCATTCCATACCTTTCCCTTCCATTCCACTCATGTTGACTCAATTCCATTCTTTTCCATTCCATTCCTTTCCATTCCATTCCATTCCAATCGGTTTGATTCCATTCCATTCCATTCGATTTCATTCCATTCCATTCCTTTCCATTCCTTTCCACTCCACTCGTGCTTATTCAATTCAGTTTTATTCCGTTCCATTGCATTCTATTCCATTCCATTCATTTACAATCCATTCAATTCCATTCTAGACCAATCCATTCCATTCCAATCGTGTTGACTCCTTTACATTCCATACCATTCTATTCCATTCCATTCTATTCCATTCCATTCCAGAGGATGCAGTTCCACTACATTCCGTTCCATTCCATTCCATTCCATACAACTCGTGTTGATTCCATTGCGTTGCATTCCATTCCCTACAGTTCCATTCCATTCCCTACCATTCCATCGCATTCTATACCATTCCATTCCATTGCATTGCATTCCATTCCATTTCTTTTCTTTTCAGTTGATTCCATTCCTTTCCATTCCATTCCATTCCAACAAATTCCTTTCCATTCCCTTCCATTCCATTCAATTCCTTTCTTTCCATACCGTTTCATTCCTTTCCGTTCCATTCCAGTTGATTCCATTCCATTCCATTCCATTCCATTCCATTCCACTCATGTTGATTCAATTCCATTCTATTCCATTCAATTCCCTTCCACTCATGTTGATTCAATTCCATTCTATTCCATTCCATTCCATTCCATGCCATGCCATTCCATTCCATTCCAATCGGGTTGATTCCATTCCATTCCATTCCGTTTCATTCCAATCCATTCCATTCCGTTCCATTCCATTCCATTCCATTCCATTCCATTCCACTCGGGTTGATTCAATTCCATTCTATTCTATTCCATTCCAATCCATTCCATTCCATTCCTTTCCACTCCACTCGTGTTGATTCAATTCCATTTTATTCCATTCCAATCCATTCTATTCCATTCCATTCCTTTCCTATCCATTCAATTCCATTCCAGACCAATCCATTCCATTCCACTCGGTTTGATTCCTTTACATTCCATACCATTCCATTCCATTCCATTCCAGTGGATTCAATTCCACTCCTTTCCTTTCCATTCCATTCCATTCCATTACATCACATTATATTCCATTGAGGTTCATTCCTTTACATTCTATTACATTCCCTACCTTTCCCTTCTATTCCATTCCATTGCATTCCATTCCATTGCACTCCAGTTGATTCCATTCGATTCCATTCCATTCAATTACCACATTCCACTCCATTCCGTTCCTTTCCATTCCATTCCATTCAATTCCATTCCATTCCTTTCCTTTCCATTCCGTTCCATTCCATTCCATTCCTGTTGACTCAATTCAATTCCATTCTATTCCATTCCATTCTATTCCATTCCAATCCATTCCACTCAGGTTGATTCAATTCCTTTCCATTCCATTCCATTCCATTCCTTTCCATTCTTCTTTTCGGGTCCATTCAATTTAAATGCATTCCATTCCATTCCAGTACATTCCATTCGATTCCATTCCATTCAAGTCCATTTCATTCCATTCCATTCCATTGCATTCCAGTTCATTCCATTCTGTTATATTGCATTCTATTCTTGTCCATTCAATTCCATTGCATTCAATTGAAGTCCATTCCACTCTATTCTGTTCTAGTCCATACCATTCCATTCGAGTCCACTCCAATCCATTGCATTCAAGTCCATTTCGTTCCATGCAATTACATTTGAATCCATTCCATTCAATTCCATTCGAATCCATTCCTTTCCATTCCTTTTGAGCCCAGTGCATTCCTTTGATTTCAATTCCAGTCCATTCCATTCCACTCCTTCCATTCGTGGTCACTCCATTCAATTCCATTCCTGTCAATTCCATTGGATTCCTTTTGATTCCATTCAATTGCATTCCAATACATTCCATTCCATTTGAGACCAATGCATTCCTTGCCATTCAATTCTAGTCCCTTCCATTCCACCCCTTCCATTCGTGGCCAATCCATTCAATTCCTTTCGAGACAGTTCCATTTGAATCCATTCGATTCCATTCCATTGCGTTCCATTCCATTCCTTTCAAGTCCAGTGAATTCCTTTTTATTCTATTCTATTCCATTCCATTCGAGTGCATTCCATTGCATTCCATTTTATTCGAGTTACTCCTTTCCATTCCATTCTAGTCTATTCCATTCCATGCGAGGAAATTCCATTCAGTTCCATTCCATTCCATTCCGTTCCGTTCCATTCCGTTCGGGTCCATTCCATTCCATTCGTATCCATTCCATTCCATTCCATTGAACTCGAGTCGATTCCATTCTATTCGATTCCATTCCATTGCCCTCGAGTCGATTAAATTCTATTCCGTTCCATTCGAGTCCATTCCATTTCATTCGAGTCCATTCCGATCCAATCCATTCCATTCGAGGCCTCATCATTCCAGTCCGTTCCATTCCATTCTCTTCAGGTCCATTCAATTCAAATCCACTCCATTCCATTCCATTCCATTCCATTCCATTCCATTCCATTCCATTCCATTCTTTTCGGGTTCATTCAATTCAAATGCATTGCATTCCATTCCATTCCAGAACATTCCATTGCATTCGAGTCCATTTCATTCCATTCCATTCGAGTTCATTCCATTCCGTTACTTTCCATTCTATTCGAGTCCCTTCAATTCCACTCCTATCCTTTGGATTCCTTTCCACTCTATTCCAATCGAGTCCATACGATTGCATTCGAGTCCATTCCATTCCATTTTATTCGAGTCCAATCCATTCCATTCTTTACCTTTTGATTCCATTCCATTCCAGTCCATTGGAGTAAATTCCATTCCATTCCATCGCGTTCAATTAAATTCCATTCCATTCCATTCCATTTGGAACCATTCCAATAAATTCCATTCGAGTCCATTCCATTCTTTTCAAGTCCTTTCCATTCCATTTGTGTCCGTTGCATTCCATTCCATTCCATTCCATTCGAATCCATTGTATTTCATTCCATTTCATTCCCATCCATTCCATTTCATTCCATTAAATTACATTTCTTTCCATTCCATTCGAGTCTATTCCATCCCATTGCATTCCATTCGAGTTCATTCCTCTGCATTCCGTTTTATTCGAGTCCATTCCATTCCATTCCACTCGAGTCGATTCCATTCCATTGCATTCCATTCCATTCCATTCCACTATATTTCAATCTAGTTCATTCCATTCCTTTCCATTGCATTCTAGTCTTTCCGTTTCATTCCATACCATTCCCTTCCCGTCCGTTCCATTCCATTCCATTGCTTTTGTGTCTATTCAATTCAACTGCATTGCCTTCGAGTCCATTCTATTATATTTTTTCCATTAGATTCTATTCCATTCCATTCCATTCCAATCCATTCCATTCCGAGGCAATTACGTTTCATTCCATTACATTTGCGTCCATTCCATCTCATTCCATTCCATTCCATTCCATTCCATTCGTGTCTAATCCACTCCATTGCATTCCATTCTAGTCCATTCCACTGCATTCCATATCATACGCGTCCTTTCCATTCCATTCCACTTGAGTCGATTCCATTCTATTCCATTCCATTCCACTCCATTTCATTCTAGTCCTTTCCATTCCATTGCGTTCGTGTCTTTTCCATTTCATTCCATTCCATTCCATTCCTTTTCATGCCATTCCATTCCATTCCTATTCATGCCATTCCATACCATAGCATTCCAATTGATTCCATTCCAATCCATTCCATTCTTTTCCATTCCATTCCATTCAATTCTATTCGGGTTTATTCCTTTTCATTCCATTGCATTCCAGTTCATTCCATTCCATTCCATTCCTTTCCATTCCATTTCGTTCCACCAGGATGGAATCCATTCCATTCCATTTCATTCCCTTCCATTCCCCTCGGGTTGATTCCATTCAGTTAAATTCCATTGCATTCCTATCCATTCCATTCCATTCCACTCGGGTTGATTCCATTCCATTCCATTCCATTCCATTCCATTCTATTCCATTCCATTCCGTTCTATTCAACTAGTGTTGATTCTATTCCATTCCATTCTATTCGGATTGATTCCTTTCCAATCCATTGCATTGTTTTCCATTCCATTCTATTTGGGTAGATTCCTTTCCATTCCATTCCATTCCATTCCATTCCATTCCATTCCATTCCACTCCATTCCATTCCATTCCATTCCACTCCATTCCATTCTTTTGAATTCCATTGCATTCCATTCCATTCCATTCCATTCCATTGCATTCCATTCCATCCCATTCCATTCCTATCCATTCCACTCCATTCCACTCGCGTTGTTTCCATTCCATTCCATTCCATTCTATTCCCCTCAGGTTGATTCAATTCCATTCGATTCCTTTCCCATACATTCCATTCTTTCTCATGCCATTCCATTCCATACCTTTACAGTTCATTCCATTCCAATCCGTTCCACTCCACTCCATTCCATTCCATTCAATTCCACTCAGATTGATTCCATTCGATTCCATTTTATTCCTTTCCATTCCATTGCATTACATTCCATTTGGTTTGAATCCAATGCATTCGATTCCATTCCATTCCACTCCAGTTGATTCCATTCAATTCCATTCCACTCGTGTTGATTCCATTCCTTTCCATTGCATTTCATTCCATTCCACTGCATTCTACTCGTGTTGATTCCATTCCATTCATTTCCATTCCTTTTCATTCCATTCAATTCCATTCCATTCGACTCGGGTTGATTCCATTCCATTCCATTCTATTCCATTCCATTCCATTCCATTCTATTCCATTCCATTCCACTGCATTCCATTCGAATCCTGCTGATTCCAGTCCATTCCGTTCCATTCTTTTCCATTCCATTCCATTCCACTCTTGTTGATTCCATTTGATTCCATTCCATTCCATTCCATTCCTCTTGGGTTGATTCCATTCCATTGCATTTTATTCCATTTCATTCCCTTCCATTCCATTCCATTCCATTCCACACGGGTTGATTCCATTCCATGCCATTTTATTCCATTCCATTCCATTCCATTCTATTCCATTCCACTAGTGTTGATTCCATTCCATTCGACTCCATTCCATTCCACTCGGGTGGATTCCATTCCATTCCATTCCTTTCCATTCCATTGCATTCCATCCCATTCCATTCCATTCCCCTTGGGTTTTTTCAATTCCATTCGATTCCATCCCATTCTGTTCCATTCCTTTACATGTCATTCCATTCCATTCCTTTCCAGTTGATTCCATTCCAATCCATTCCATTCCATTCCACTCGGGTTGATTCCAGGCAATTCCATTCCATTCCACTTGATTCCACTCCATTCCATTCCATTACACTCGTGTTTATTCCATTCCATTCCTTTCCATTCCATTCCTTTCCATTATGTTCCATTTCATTCCATTCGACTCTGGTTGATTCCATTCCAATCCATTCCAAACCATTCCATTCCATTCCATTCCATTCCATTCAATTGGAAACGGGTTGATTCCATTCCATTTCACCCCATTCCATTCCATTCCATTCCATTCGAATCGGCCTGATCCCATTCTATTCTATTCCATTCCATTCCATTCCATTCCATTCCATTCCATTCCACTTGGTTGATTCCATTCCATTCCATTCCATTCCATTCCATTCCATTCATTTCCAATCAATTCCATTCCATTCCAATCAGTTTGATTCCATTCCATTCTATTTTATTCCATTCCATAGCATTCCATTCCATTCCATACCATTCCACTCTGCTTGATTCCATTCCATTCCATTTTATTCCATTCCATTCCATTCCGTTCCCCACTGGTTGATTCCATTCCCTTTCATTACATTCCATTTCTTTCCATTCCATTGCATTCCATTCCATTTCACTCGGGTTGATTCCATTCCATTCCATTCGTTCCATTCTATTCCGTTCAACTCCATTCTCTTCAATTCCATTCCATTCTATTGCATTCCATTCCATTGAATTCCATTCCATTCCATTACAGTTTATTCAATTCCATTCTATTCCATTCCATTCCATTCCATTTCGTTCCATTCCAGTTGATTGAATTCCATTCTATTCCATTCCATTCCATTCATTTCCATTCCTTTCCATTCCACTCCAGTTGAATCCATTCCATTCCATTCCATTCCAGTTTATTAAATTCCATTCCATTCCATTCCATTCCATTTCACTTGGGTTGATTCAATTCCATTCTATTCCATTCTATTACATTCCATTGCATTCTCCTCCATTCCAATAGGGTTGAATCAATTGCGTTCTATTCCATTCCATTCCTTTCTATTCAATTCCATTGCATTCCATACGTATTGTTTGCATTCCATTCCATTCCATTCCTTTCCACTCAGGTTGATTCTATTCCATTCTATTCCATTCCATTCTATTCCATTCCATTCCATTCTACTCACGTTGACTCAATTCCTTTCTATTCCATTCCATTGCATTCCATTCCATTCCATTTGATTCCATTTGATTCCATTCGATTCCATTCCATTCCATTCCAATCATTCCACACAGGTTGATTCAATTCCATTCCATTCCATTCCATTCCATTCCATTGCATTCCATTCCATTCCAATGTATTCCTTTCGACTCTGGTTGATTCCATTCCATTCCATTTCATTCCATTCCATTCCAGTGCATTCAATTCCATTCCATTCGATTCCTTTTCATTCTATTACATTCCATTCGACTCGTTTTGAATCCATTCCTTTACATTACATACCCTACCATTCCATTCCATACCATTCCATTGCATTCCCTAGCATTCCATTCCCTTCTATTCCATTCCATTCCATTCCAATTTGTTCCATTCCTTTGCATTCCATTCCATTCCATTCTATTCCATTCCATTCCATTCCAGTTGATTCAATTCCATTCCATTTCATTCCATTCCATTGTATTCCATTCCATTCCGGTTTATTTAATTCCATTCTCTTCCATACCATTACACTCCATTCCATTACCGTCCATTCCATTACATTTGATTCCATTCCATTGCATTCCATTACTTTCCATTCCATTCCATTTCATTCCACTCCACTCGTGTTGATTCAATTCCATTCTATTTCATTCCATTCCATTCCTATCCATTCCTTTCCACTCGGGTTGATTCCATTCCATTCCATACCATTCCAATCCATTCCATTCCCGTTGATTCAATTCCATTCGATTCCATTCCATTCCATTCCACTCCTTTCCATTCCATTCCACTGCATTCCATTCCGGTTGATTCAATTCCATTCTATTCCATTCCATTCCATTCCATTACTTTCCTTTCCATTCCATTGCACTCAGGTTGATTCAATTCCTTTTATTCAATTCCATTCCATTCCATTTGAAACCATTCCATTCCATTCCATTCCAGTCCATTGCATTCCATTCCATTCCACTCCTTCCCACTCGGGTTCATTCCATTCCATTCCATTCCATTCCAATCCATTGCATTCCATTCCCATTGTTTCCATTGCTTTCTATTCCATTCCATTGCGTTCCATTCGACTCTGATTCATTCCACTCCATTCCATTCCTTTCCATTCCATTGCATTCCATTCCATTACATTCCATTCGATTCGTTTCCATTCCATTCCATTCTATTCCGTTCCATTCCACTGTATTTAATTCCATTCCATTCATTTCCATTCCATTCCATTCCATTCTATTCCCCTCGTTTTGATTCCATTCATTCAATTACATTCCTTACCATTCCATTACGTTCGATGCTATTCTATTGCATTCCCTACCATTCCATTCCATTCCATTCCATTTTAATTGATTCCATTCCATTCCATTCCTTTCCATTCCATTCCAATCCATTCCATTCCATTCCATTCCACTAGGGTTGATTCAATTCCATTCTATTCCATTCCATTCCAGTCCATACCATTCCATTCCATTCCGGTTGATTCAATTCCATTCTATTCCATTCCATTCCACTCCATTCTATTCCTTTCCATTCCATTCCATTCCTTTTCATTCCATTCCATTCCTGGTGATTCCATTCCATTCCTTTCCATTCCATTCCATTCCAATGCATTCTATTCCGGTGGATTCCATTCCATTCCATTCCATTCCATTTCATTCCATTCCATTCCTGTATATTCCATTTCATTCCCTACCATTCCATTCCATTCCATTCCATTCCATTCCATTCAATTCCAATCCAGTTGATTCCATTACTTTCCATTCCATTCCATTCCATTCCATTTCAAAATTCATTTCCATTCCATTCCATTCCATTCCATTCCATTCCACTCCATTCCATTCCTTTCCATTCCATTCCATTCCATTGCATTCCAGTTGATTCAATTCCTTTCTATTCCATTCCATTCCACTCCATTGCATTCCATTCCTATTCCTTCCATTCTATTCCACTCGGGTTTATTCAATTCCATTCTATTCCATTCTATTCCATTCCACTGCTGGTGATTCAATTGCATTCTATTCCATTTCATTCCATTCCATTCCATTCCTATTGGGTTGATTCTTTTCCCTTCTATTCCATTCCATTGCATTCCACTCGGGTTGATTCAATTGCATTCTATTCCATTCCATTCCATTCCATTCCATTCCATTCCATTCTATTCCACCCGTGTTGATTCCATTCCGTTCCTTTCCATTCCATTCCATTCCTCTCAGGTTGATTGAATTCCAGTGAATTCCATTCGATTCCATTCCATTCCATTTCATTCCACTCAGGTTGATTCAATTCCTTTCTAATCCATTCTATTCCATTCCTTTCAATTCCTTTCCTTTCCATTCCATTCAATTCAATTCCAATTCATTCCATTCCATTCCATTCCATTCCATTCCATTCCATTCATTCCACGCAGGTTGACTCAATTACATTCCGTTCCATTCCATTCCATTTCATTCCTTTCAACTAGGTTTGATTCCATTCCATTCCAATTCCATTACATTCCATTCCATTGCATTCCAGTTGAATCCATTCCATTCCATTCCATTACATTCAACTCCATTGCATTCTTTCCATTTCTTTACATTCCATTCCATTCCATTCCAGTTCATTCAATTCCATTCTATTCCTTCCCATTCCACTCCATTCCATTCCATTCCATTCCATACCATTCCATTCCATTCCATTCCTTTCCATTCCAGTTGATTCCATTCCATTCCCTTCCCTTCCACTCGGGTTGATTCAATTCCGTTCTATTCCATTCCATTCCATTCCATTCCATTCCATTCCATTCCATTCCATTCCATTCCATTCTATTCCATTCCACTCATGTTGATTCAATTCCATTCTATTCCATTCCATTTCATTCCATTTTATTCCATTCCATTCCAATCGTGTTGATTCCTTTCCATTCCACTCCATTCCATTGCATTCCTTTCCAGTACATTCCATTCCATTCCAGTTGATTCGATTCCATTCCTTTCCATTCCATTCCATTCCATTCCATTCCAGTTGATTCCATTCCATTCCATTCCAGTTAATTCTATTCCCTTCCTTTCCATTCCATTCAATTCCTTTCCATTCGACTCGGGTTGATTCCAATCCATTCCATTCTATGCCATTCCATCCCATTCCACTCCATTGCATTCCATTCCACCCAGGTTGATTCAATTGCTTTCTATTACGTTCAATCCCATGCCATTCCATTCCATTCATTTCCATTCCATTAAATTCCATTCGATTCCATTCCATTCCAGTTGATTCCATTCCATTCCATTCCTTTCCATTCCGTTCCATTCCAATCTATTCCACTCGTGTTGATTCAATTCCATTCTATTCCATTGAATTCCATTCCATACCTTTCCCTTCCATTCCACTCATGTTGACTCAATTCCATTCTTTTCCATTCCATTCCTTTCCATTCCATTCCATTCCAATCGGTTTGATTCCATTCCATTCCATTCGATTTCATTCCATTCCATTCCTTTCCATTCCTTTCCACTCCACTCGTGCTTATTCAATTCAGTTTTATTCCATTCCATTGCATTCTATTCCATTCCATTCATTTACAATCCATTCAATTCCATTCTAGACCAATCCATTCCATTCCAATCGTGTTGACTCCTTTACATTCCATACCATTCTATTCCATTCCATTCTATTCCATTCCATTCCAGAGGATGCAGTTCCACTACATTCCGTTCCATTCCATTCCATTCCATACAACTCGTGTTGATTCCATTGCGTTGCATTCCATTCCCTACAGTTCCATTCCATTCCCTACCATTCCATCGCATTCTATACCATTCCATTCCATTCCATTGCATTCCATTCCATTCCTTTTCTTTTCAGTTGATTCCATTCCTTTCCATTCCATTCCATTCCATTCCAACAAATTCCTTTCCATTCCCTTCCATTCCATTCAATTCCTTTCTTTCCATACCGTTTCATTCCTTTCCGTTCCATTCCGGTTGATTCCATTCCATTCCATTCCATTCCATTCTATTCCACTCATGTTGATTCAATTCCATTCTATTCCATTCAATTCCCTTCCACTCATGTTGAATCAATTCCATTCTATTCCATTCCATGCCATGCCATTCCATTCCATTCCAATCGGGTTGATTCCATTCCATTCCATTCCGTTTCATTCCAATCCATTCCATTCCATTCCATTCCATTCCATTCCATTCCATTGCATTCCACTCTGGTTGATTCAATTCCATTCTATTCTATTCCATTCCAATCCATTCCAATCAATTCCTTTCCACTCCACTCGTGTTGATTCAATTCCATTTTATTCCATTCCAATCCATTCTATTCCATTCCATTCCTTTCCTATCCATTCAATTCCATTCCAGACCAATCCATTCCATTCCACTCGGGTTGATTCCTTTACATTCCATACCATTCCATTCCATTCCATTCCAGTGGATTCAATTCCACTCCTTTCCTTTCCATTCAATTCCATTCCATTCCATTCCATTACATCACATTATATTCCATTGAGGTTCATTCCTTTACATTCTATTACATTCCCTACCATTCCCTTCTATTCCATTCCATTGCATTCCATTCCATTCCACTCCAGTTGATTCCATTCGATTCCATTCCATTCAATTACCACATTCCACTCCATTCCGTTCCTTTCCATTCCATTCCATTCAATTCCATTCCATTCCTTTCCTTTCCATTCCGTTCCATTCCATTCCATTCCTGTTGACTCAATTCAATTCCATTCTATTCCATTCCATTCTATTCCATTCCAATCCATTCCACTCAGGTTGATTCAATTCCTTTCCATTCCATTCCATTCCATTCCTTTCCATTCTTCTTTTCGGGTCCATTCAATTCAAATGCATTCCATTCTATTCCAGTACATTCCATTCGATTCCATTCCATTCAAGTCCATTTCATTCCATTCCATTCCATTGCATTCCAGTTCATTCCATTCTGTTATATTGCATTCTATTCTTGTCCATTCAATTCCATTGCATTCAATTGAAGTCCATTCCACTCTATTCTGTTCTAGTCCATACCATTCCATTCGAGTCCACTCCAATCCATTGCATTCAAGTCCATTTCATTCCATGCAATTACATTTGAATCCATTCCATTCAATTCCATTCGAATCCATTCCTTTCCATTCCTTTTGAGCCCAGTGCATTCCTTTGATTTCAATTCCAGTCCATTCCATTCCACCCCTTCCATTCGTGGTCACTCCATTCAATTCCATTCCTGTCAATTCCATTGGATTCCTTTCGATTCCATTCAATTGCATTCCAATACATTCCATTCCATTTGAGACCAATGCATTCCTTGCCATTCAATTCTAGTCCCTTCCATTCCACCCCTTCCATTCGTGGCCAATCCATTCAATTCCTTTCGAGACAGTTCCACTTGAATCCATTCGATTCCATTCCATTGCGTTCCATTCCATTCCTTTCAAGTCCAGTGAATTCCTTTTTATTCTATTCTATTCCATTCCATTCGAGTGCATTCCATTGCATTCCATTTTATTCGAGTTACTCCTTTCCATTCCATTCTAGTCTATTCCATTCCATGCGAGGAAATTCCATTCAGTTCCATTCCATTCCATTCCATTTCGTTCCATTCCGTTCGGGTCCATTCCATTCCATTCGTATCCATTCCATTCCATTCCATTGAACTCGAGTCGATTCCATTCTATTCGATTCCATTCCATTGCCCTCGAGTCGATTAAATTCTATACCGTTCCATTCGAGTCCATTCCATTTCATTTGAGTCCATTCCGATCCAATCCATTCCATTCGAGGCCTCATCATTCCAGTCCGTTCCATTCCATTCTCTTCAGGTCCATTCAATTCAAATCCACTCCATTCCATTCCATTCCATTCCATTCCATTCCATTCCATTCCATTCTTTTCGGGTTCATTCAATTCAAATGCATTGCATTCCATTCCATTCCAGAACATTCCATTGCATTCGAGTCCATTTCATTCCATTCCATTCGAGTTCATTCCATTCCGTTACTTTCCATTCTATTCGAGTCCCTTCAATTCCACTCCTATCCTTTGGATTCCTTTCCACTCTATTCCAATCGAGTCCATATGATTGCATTCGAGTCCATTCCATTCCATTTTATTCGAGTCCAATCCATTCCATTCTTTACCTTTTGATTCCATTCCATTCCAGTCCATTGGAGTAAATTCCATTCCATTCCATCGCGTTCAATTAAATTCCATTCCATTCCATTCCATTTGGAACCATTCCAATAAATTCCATTCGAGTCCATTCCATTCTTTTCAAGTCCTTTCCATTCCATTTGTGTCTGTTGCATTCCATTCCATTCCATTCCATTCGAATCCATTGTATTTCATTCCATTTCATTCCCATCCATTCCATTTCTTTCCATTAAATTACATTTCTTTCCATTCCATTCGAGTCTATTCCATCCCATTGCATTCCATTCGAGTTCATTCCTCTGCATTCCGTTTTATTCGAGTCCATTCCATTCCATTCCACTCGAGTCGATTCCATTCCATTGCATTCCATTCCATTCCATTCCACTATATTTCAATCTAGTTCATTCCATTCCTTTCCATTCCATTCTAGTCTTTCCGTTTCATTCCATACCATTCCCTTCCCGTCCGTTCCATTCCATTCCATTGTTTTTGTGTCTATTCAATTCAACTGCATTCCCTTCGAGTCCATTCTATTATATTTTTTCCATTAGATTCTATTCCATTCCATTCCATTCCAATCCATTCCATTCCGAGGCAATTATGTTTCATTCCATTACATTTGCGTCCATTCCATCTCATTCCATTCCATTCCATTCCATTCCATTCGTGTCTAATCCACTCCATTGCATTCCATTCTAGTCCATTCCACTGCATTCCATATCATACGCGTCCTTTCCATTCCATTCCACTTGAGTCGATTCCATTCTATTCCATTCCATTCCACTCCATTTCATTCTAGTCCTTTCCATTCCATTGCGTTCGTGTCTTTTCCATTTCATTCCATTCCGTTCCTTTCAAATCCGTTCCATTCCATTCCATTGCTTTCATGTCCATTGAATTCAACTTCATTCCCTTCAATTCCATTCTGTTACATTTTTTTTCCATTCCATTCCATTTCAGCACATTTCATTCCATTACATTCCTTTCGAGTCCATTCCATTCCATTACATTCTTTTACATTGCGTTCCTGTTGAGTCCATTCAATTCCATTGCATACCATTGTTGTCCATTCCATTTTATTCCATTCCATTCCATTCCATTCGAGTCCATTCCATTCCATTCCGTTCGAATACATTTCATTCCATTAAATTACATTACATTCGAGTCCATTCCATGACATTATATTCAGTTCGATTCAAATCCATTCCATTCCATTATAATAAAATCCACTCCATTCCATTAGAATAACTTCCACCCCATTCCGTTCGAGTCCATTGCATTCCGTTCCATTCCACTCGAATCCTTTCCATTCCATTCGAGTCCATTCCATTCCAATCCATTCCACTCGAGTCCTTTCCATTCCTTTCGAGTCTATTCCATTCCATTCCTTTCCAATCCATTTGTTTACATTACCGTCTGTTCCATTTTATTCCATTCCTGTCCATTCCATTCCATTCCACTTAAGTCCATTCCATTTCATTCCTTTTGAGTCCAGTACATTCCATTCGAATCCATTCCATTCCATTTTCTCCTGTCCTATATTTTCCATTCCATTCTATACGATTTGAATCCATTCCATTGCTGTCTATTCCGTTCTATTCCATTCCTTTGGAGTCCTTTGCGTCCTATTATAATCCCTTCCATTCCATTCCATTCCTATCTTTCCATTCTTCTCCATACCATTCCATTCCACTCCATTCCAGTCCATTCAATTACATTCGAGTCCATTCTGTTCCATTTCATTCGAGTCCCTTCCATTCCGTTCCATTCTATTCCATTTGAGTGCACTCAACTGCATTCCATTCCTTTCGAGTCAATTATATTCCATTCCATTAGATTCCAATCCATTCCATTCCATTCCATTTCAATCCATTTTATTCCATTCCATTTCAATCCATTGCGTTCCGTTCCATTCCTTTCCATTCCGTTCCGTTCCATTCCATTCCGTTCCGTTCCGTACCTCTCCCTTCCGTTCCATTCCTTTCGGTTCTATTCCATTCGTGTCCATTCCATTGCATTCCCTTCGAATCCATTCCATTCCATTCCATTGCACACGAGTGGATCCCATTCCATTTCATTCCATTCGATTCCATTCCATTTCATTCGAGTAAATTCCTTTCCATTCGAATCCATTCGAAGCCACTTCTTTCCATTTCATTCCATTCCATTAAATTCCATTATTTTCCGGTCCACTCAATTCAAACGCATTCCAGTACATTCCATTCCATTCCAGTACATTCCATTCCATTCCATTCCATTCGAGTCCATTTCATTAAATTCCATTCCATTCCATTTGAGTTCATTCCATTCTGATACATTCCATTCTATTCGAGTCCGTTCAACTCCATTCCATTTCATTGGATTCCATTCCACTCTATTTAGTTTGAGTCCATACCATTCCTTTCGAGTCCATTCCATTCCATTGCTTTCGCGTCCATTCAATTCCATGTTATGTCATTTGAATCCATTCCATTCAATTCCATTCGAATCTATTCCATTCCATTCCATTCCATACCATTTGTGCCTAATCCATTCCTTTCCTTTCAATTCCATTCCATTCCATTCCATTCCAGCCTTTTCATTCGTGGCAACTCCATTCAATTCTATTCGATTCAATTCCATTGCATTCCATTCGATTCCATTCCTTTGCATTCTGTTCCAATCCTTTCGAGTCCATTGAATTCCTTTTGAGTCCATTCTATTCCATTCCACCGAGCCCATTCCATTGCATTCCAATCCATTCGAGTCTATTCTGTGCTATTCCATTCGAGTCTATTCCGTTCCATGTGAGTCCATTCCATTCCATTCCATTCCATTCCATTCCATTCCATTCCATTCTGTTCCATTTCTTTCGTGTCCATTGCATTCCATTCAAATCAATTCTATTCCATTCCATTGCACTCCAGTCAGCTCCGTTCTTTTCCATTCCGTTCGAGTCCATTCCATTTCATTCGAGTCCATTCAAATCCATTCCATTCCATTCGAGGCCTCTTCATTTCATTCAATTCCATTCCATTCCATTCTTTTCGGGTCCTTTCTATTCAAATCCAATCCATTCCATTCCATTCCATTCCAATCCATTCCTTTCTTTTTGGGTCCTTTCAATTCAAATCCAAACTTTTCCATTCCATGCCATTCCATTCCATTCCATTCGAATCCATTCAATTCCAGTGCATTAGAGTCCATACCATTCCATGCTATTCCATTTGAGTCCATTCCGTTCATTTCCGTTCGAGTAAATTCGATTCCATTCCATCGCATTCGAGTAAATTCCATTCCATTCCATTCCATTCCATTCCATTCCTTTGGAGTCCATTCTATTCCATTCCATTTCATTCGTGTCAATTCCATTCCTTTCCATTCCGTTCCATTCCATTCCATTCGATTCTTTTGCTTTCCATTGCATTCCTTTGGACTCCATGCCACTGCATGCCATTTCTTTCGATGCCATTCCGTTCCATTCCACTCGAGTCAATTCCATTCCACTCCATTCCATTCGAGTCCACTCCATTTCATTCGAGTCTATTCCATTCCATTCCATTCCATTACTTTCGAGGCTTTTCCTTTTCATTCCATTCCATTCCCTTCCAATCTGTTCCATACCATTCCATTGCTTTCAGGTCCATGCAATTCAACTACATGCCATTCGATTCCATTCCATTACATTTTATTCCATTCCATTACATTCCATTCCATTGCAGCACATTTCCTTCCATTACATTCGTTTCAGGTCTATTCCATTCCATTCCATTCAATTCCATTCCTTTCGTGTCCATTCCATTCCTTTCCTCTCGAGTCCATTCCATTTCATTCTATTGCATTTGATACCATTCCCTTTCATTCCACGTGAGTCCATTCCATTCCATTCCTTTTGATTCCATTCCATTCCATTCCATTGAGTTCATTACATTCCTTTGGAATCCATTAAATTCCATATCATTCGAGTCCGTTCCATTCCATTCTATTCCATTCAACACCTTTCCATTCCATTCCATTCCATTCCATTCCATTCCATTCCATTCCTTTCGTGTCCATTCTGTTTCATTCCATTCACGTCCATTCAATTCCAATCGATTCCATTCGAGTCCATTCCGTTCCTTTTCATCACAGTTAATTCCGTTAGATTCTAATCCAGTAAATTCCACTGCGTTCCATTCGAGTCCATTCCATTTGAGTCCATTCCATTCCATTCTGTTCCAATCCATTCTATTTCATTCTATTCCATTCCATTCCATTCCATTCCTTTCCATTCCATTACGGTCCATTCCATTCGTGTCCATTTCATTTCTTTCCATTCCATTTCATTCTGGTCCATTCCTTTTCATTTGAGACCATTCCATTCCATCCGAGTCCATTTCATTTATTTGCATTGCATTTCATGGCATTGCATTGCATTGCATTCCATTCCATTCAATTTCATTAGTTTCCATTCTATTGCATTCCCTTGCATTGTGTTCCATTCCATTCCATTGCATTCCTTTCCGTTCCGTTCCATTCCATTCTGTTCAAATCAACTGCATTCCATTTAAATCCATTCCATTCCATTCCATGCCATTCCATTCCATTCCATTCGAGTCCGTTTCATTTCATTACATTCCATTCCATTCGAGTACATTCCATTCCATTCCATTGCATTCCATTCGAATCCATTAGACACCACTCCATTGAAATCCGTTCGATTCCATTCGATTCCATTCAATTCAATTGCATTACAGTCCATTCTATTCTATGCTATTCCATCTGAGTCCATTCCATTCCATTCAATTATATTAAATTCCATTCAGTACCATCGCATTAGAGTAAATTACATTCCTTTCCATTCCATTCCTTTTGGCACCATTGCATTAAATTCCATTCCAGTCCATTCCATTCGTTTTGATTCCATTCCATTCCATGCCATTTGAGTCCATTGTATTCCATTCCATTTCATTCTATTCCATTCCATTCAACTTGAACCTGTTCTATTTCATTCCATGTCTTTCTTGTCCATTCCATTTCACTCCATTACATTCCATTCGGTTGTATTGCAGTCTATTCCATTCCACTGCATTTCTTTCGATTCCGTTCCACTGCATTCCATTTCACTCGAGTCCATTGCATTCCATTTCATTTGAGCCCATTGCATTCCATTCCACTTGAGTCAATTCCATTCCACTCCATTCCATTCCTTTCCATTCCACTCCACTTAATTCTAGTCCATTCCTTTCCATTCCATTCCATTCCATTCCATTAAATTCCATTCGAGTCTTTTCCGTTTCATTCCATTCCATTCCTTTCCAATCCGTTCCATTCCATTCCATTGCTTTCGGGTCCATTCAATTCAACAGCATTCCCTGCGAGTCCATTCTATAAAATTTTTTTCCACTCAATTCCCTTCCATTCAATTCCATTTCAGCACATTTCATTCCATTACATTCTCTTCGAGGCCATTACTTTCCATTACATTCTTTTCCATTGCATTACTATTGAGTCCATTCAATTCCATTTCATTCTTTTCCAATGCATTCCTATTTTGTCCATTCAATTCCATTATATACCATTCATTTCCATTCCATTTTACTCCATTTTATTCCATTCCATTCGCGTCCATTCCATTCCATTCCGTTCGAGTCCATTTCATTCAATTACATTCCATTCCATTCGAGTCCATTCCATGCGAACACATTCGGTTTGACTCGAATCCGTTCAATTTCTTTCCATTCCATTGGAATACATTCCAATCCATTCCATTCGAGTCCATTGCATTCCGTTCCATTCCACTCGAGGCCTTTACATTCCATTTGAGTCCATTCCACTCGAGTCCTTTCCATTCCATTCGAGTCCATTACATTACATTCCTTTTCAATCCTTTCCTTTGCATTACAGTCTATTCCTTTCCATTCCATTCATGTCCAATCCTTTCCATACCACTTAGATACATTCCATTGCATTCCATTCGAGTCCATTCCTTTCCATTCCATTCCTTTTGAGTCAATCCCATTCCATTCGAGTCCATTCCATTCTATTCCATTCCATTCCATTCTATTCCATTCCTTTGGAGTGCATTTCATTCTATTGGAGTCTCTTCCATTCCATTTCATCCCTATCTATTCTATTCCATTCCATTCTATTCCATTCCATTCCATTGAAATCCATTCCATTCCATTTCATTGCATTCCATTCCATTCCCTTCTTCTCCATTCCATTCCATTCCGTTCTATTCCAATTGGGTCCATTCCATTCCATTACTTTTGAGTCTATTCTTAATAATTACATTCCATTCCAGTGCATTCCATTGCATTCGAGTCCTTTCCATTCCATTTCATTCGAGTCCCTTCCATTCCATTGCATTCTATTCCATTGAAGCCCATTTCATTCCATTCCACTCCATTCCATTCCTTTCCTTTCGAGTCCATTCCTTTCCATTCGAGTCCACTACATTCCATTCGATTCCATTTCATTCCATTTCATTCGAGGCCCTTCCATTCCATTCCATTCTATTCCATTCGAGTGGGTTCCATTGCATTCCATTCCATTTCAGTGCATTCCATTCCATTCGAGTCCACTCCATTCCATTCCATTCTATTCCAATCCATTCCATTCCATTCTATTCCATTCCATTCAACTGGACTCCATTCCAATTCCTTCGACTCCATTCCATTCAATATGATTCAAGTCCGTTCCATTCCAATCGAGACCATTCCAATTGATTCCATTCGGGTCCATTCCTATCCATTCCATTCGAGTCCATTGCAATATATTCCATCCCATTCAATTCCATTGCATTCCATTCCATTCCATTCCATTCGGGTCCATTCCTTTCCATTCCTTGCCTGTCGGTTCCATTACATTCCATTCCATTTGAGTAGTTTCCATTCCATTCCATCCCATTCGAGGCCATTCTAATCTATTCCATTCCCGTTGAGTCCATTCCATTCCATACCATTCTATTCGAGTCCATTCCATTCCGTTGGGTTCCTTCCATTCCATTGCATTTGAGTCCATTCCATTCCATGTCAATCCATTTGAGGCCATTCTATTCCATTCCATTCCAGTTGATTCCTTTCCATTCTATTCCATTGTATTTGAGTCCATTCCAATTCATTCGAGTCCATTCCATTGCATATCATTCGAGTCCACTCCATTCTATTGCATTCCTTTCCATTCCAGTCAATTCCATTCCGTTCTGTTCCGTTCTATTCCATTCATTTCCATTCCATGCGAGTACATTCCATTCTGTTCCATTCCATTGCAATCCGTTCAAGTCCATTCGACTCCACTCTTTCGAGTCCATTCCGTTCCATTCGAGTCCATTCCATTCCATTGCATTCGAGTCCATTCCATTCCATGCTATTCCATTTCAGTCCATTCCATTCCATTCCATTCTAGTAAATTCCATTCCATTCCAACCCATTAGTGCAAGATCCATTCCATTTCATTCCTTTCCACTACATTCCATTCCATTCCAGCACCTTTCATTCCATTACATTCCATTACATTCGTGTTCATTACATTCCGTTACATTCTATTCCATTCGATTCCGTGTTATTCCATTTGAGTCCATTCCATTCCATTCCATTCCATTCCATTCCATTCCTGTCCATTCCAAACTCATTACATTCCACTTCATTCTATTCCATGCCACTGTTTTTCATTCCATTCCATTTGAGCACATTCCATTCCATTCCATTCCATTCGAGTCCATTCCATTCAATTCCATTCCATTCGAGTCCATTCCATTCCATTCCATTCGAGTCCACTCTATTCCATTCCATTCCATTCCTTTCCATTCTATTCCATTCCATTCAATTCGGGTCCATTCCATTCAATTCCTTTTGATTCAAATCCACTCCTTTCCATTTTAGTCCACTCTATTGCATGCCATTGCATTCGAGTCCATTCCATTCCATTTGAGTCCATTCCACTGTACTCCATCCGAATCCTTTCGAGTCCACTCAATTCCATTCCGTTCCATTTGAGTCAATTCCAATCCTTTCCATTTGAGTCCATTCCATTGCCTTCCATTCCATTTGAGTGTCTTCCATTCTATTCCATTCAAGTCCCTTCAATTCCATTCCGTTACAGCCCATTCCATTAAATTCCATTGTATTCCATTTGAGTTCATTCCATTCCATTCCGTTCCATTCATGTCCCTTCCATTCCATTTGTGTGCAGTCCATTCCTATCCTTTCGAGTCCATTCCATTCATTCTATTCCATTCAAGTCCATTCCATTCCATACCATACCATTCCATTCCATTTCATTCCATTCGGGTTCATTCCTTTCCATTCCATTCAAGTCTATTCCATTCCATTCTAGTCCATTACATTAGATGCCATTCCACTCGACACCATTCCGTTCCATTCCATTCGGGTCCATTCTTATCCAGTCCATTCGAGTCCATTGCAATACATTCCATCCCATTCGATTCCATTGCATTCCATTCCAATACATTCCGTTCCATTCCACTCGAGTCCATTCCACTCCTTTCCATTTGGGTCCATTCCAATCCATTCCATTCAAGTCCCTTCCAATACATTCCATCCCATTCGATTCCATTGCATTCCATTCCATTCTATTCCATTCGAGTCCATTTCATTCATTCCATGCAATTCGAGGCCATTCTATTCCATTCCATTCCAGTCGAGTCCTTTCCATTCCATTTCATTCTATTCAAGTCCATTCCATTCCATTGGAGATTATTCCATTCCATTCCATTCGAGTCCTTTCCATTCAATTACACTCCATTTGAGTCCATTCAATTCCATTCCATACAATTCGAGTAGATTCCATTCCGTTCCGTTCCGTTCCGTTCCGTTCCGTTCCATTCTGTTCCTTTCCTTTCCATTCCATTCCATTCCATTCCATTCGAGTACATTCCATTCGGTTCCATTCCATTGCATTCCATTCGAGTCCATTCGACTCCACTCCATTCGAGTCCATTCCGTTCCATTTGAGTCCATTCTGTTCTATCGCATTCGAGTCCATTCCATTCCATCCTATTGCATTTCAGTCCATTACATTCCGTTCCATTCGAGAGAATTCCATTCCATTCCTTCCCATTCGAGTTAATTCCATTCCAATCCATTCCATTCCATTGTATTTCATTGCATTCCATTCCATTCCATTCCCTCACATTTCATTACATTCCATTCCATTCTAGTCCATTCCACTCCGTTCCGTTCTGTTCCATTCCTTTCCTTTCCATTCCATGCCGTTCAATTCCATTCGTGTACATTCCATTCGGTTCCATTCCATTGCATTCCATTCTAGTCCATTCGACTCCCTTCCATTTGTGTCCATTCCGTTCCATTAGAGTCCATTCCGTTCCATTGCATTCGAGTCCATTCCTTTCCATACTATTGCGTTTTAGTCCGTTCCATTCCATTCCATTCGAGTAAATTCCATTCCCTTCCATCCCATTCGACTAAATTCCATTCCATTCCATTCCATTCCCTTCCATTCATTCCATTCCATTCCAGCACATTTCATTCTATTCCGTTCCATTCTATTCGTGTTCATTCCATTCCGTTACATTCCATTCCATTCGAGTCCATTCAATTCCATTCCATTCCAAACGTGTCCTTTCAAATCCATTAAATTCGAATCTATTCCATTCCATTCCATTCAAGTCCATTTCATTCCATTGCATTTAAGTACTTTCCATTCCATGCTATTCCATTTTAGTGCATTCCATTCCATTCTATGCCATTCCATTCCTTTTCAGCCCATTCCAAACTTATTACATTCCAGTCCATTCTCTTCCTTTCCATTATTTTCCGCTCCATTGCATTCCATTCCATTTGAACCCATTCCATTCCATTCCATTCCATTCCATTCGAGTCTATTCCATTCCATTCCATTCGAGTCCATTCCAATCCATTCCATTCCATTCCATTTCATTCCATTCCTTTCCATACCATTCCATTCCATTCCATTCGAGTTCATTCCACTGTATTCCAACCCTATCTTTTCAATTCCATTCAATTCCAAACCATTCCGTTTGAGTCAATTCCATTCAATTCAATTTAAGTCCATTCCATTGCATTCCATTCCATTCGAGTCTCTTCCATTCTATTCCATTCAAGTCCATTCCATTCCATTTCATTAGATACCATTCCATTGCATTCCATTGCATTCAAGTCCATTACATTCCATTCCATTAGTGTCCATTCCATTAAATTCCATTGTATTCCATTCGAGAACATTCCACTCGATTCTGTTCCATTCATGTCCATTGCATTCCATTTGAGTCCATTCCATCCCAATCCTTTCGTGTCCATTCCATTCCATTCATTATATTCCATTTAAATCCTTTAAATTCCATACCATAACATTCCATTCTATTCCATTCAGGTCCATTCCTTTGCATTCCATTCGAGTCCATTCCATTCCATTCGAGTCCATTCCATTCCATTCCATTCCATTCCATTCCATTCCATTCCACTCGAGACCATTCCATTTCATTCCTTTCGGGTCAATTCCTATCCATTCCATTCGAGTCCATTCCAATACATTCCATCCCATTCGATTCCATTGCATTCAATTCCAATACATTCCGTTGCATTCCATTGGAGACCATTCCATTCCATTCCATTTGGGTCCTTTGCAATCCATTCCATTCGAGTCCATTCCAATACATTCCATCACATTCGATTCCATTGCATTCCATTCCATTCTATTCCATTCGAGTCCATTCCTTTCCATTCCATCCAATTCGAGGCCATTCTATTCCATTTCATTCCAGTCGAGTCGTTTCCATTCCATTCCATTCTATTCGAGTCCATTCCATTCCATTGGAGTTCATTCCATTCCATTCCATTCGAGTACTTTCCATTCTATTCCACTCCTTTTGAGTCCATTGAATTCCATTCCATTCCATTCAAATCCATTCCCTTCCATTCCGTTTCGTTCCAATCCTTTCCTTTCCATTCCATTCCGTTCCATTCCATTTGAGTACATTCCATTCGGTTACATTCCATTGCATTCCATTCAGGTCCATTCGACTCCACTCCATTCGAGTCCATTCCGTTCCATTCGAGTCCATTCCATTCTAATGCATTCGAGTCCATTCCATTCCATGCTATTGCATTTTAGTCCATACCATTCCATTCCATTTGAGTAAATTCCATTCCATTGCATCCCATTCGAGTAAATTCCATTTCTATCCATTCCTTTCCATTCCATTCCATTCCATTCCATCCCATTCCATTCCATTCCATTCCATTCCATTCCATTCCATTCCATCCCATCCCAGCACATTTCACCCCATTCCATTCCATTCCATTCGGATTCATTCCATTCCATTACGTTCCATTCCATTCGAGTCCATTAAATGCCATTCCATTCCATATGTGCCCATTCAAATCCATTAAATTCGAGTCCATTACATTGCATTCGAGTCCATTCCATTCCATTGCATTTGAGTCTTTTCCTTTCCATGCTATTCAATTTGAGTCCATTCCATTCCATTCCAAGCCATTCCATTCCATTTCAGTCCATTCCAAACTTATTACATTCCAGTCCATTGTATTCCATTCCATTCTTTCCCATTCCATTCCATTCCATTCCATTTGATCCCAGTCCATTGCATTCCATTCCATTCGGGTCCATTCCATTCCATTCCAGTCCAGTCCATTCCATACCATTCCATTCGAGTTCATTCTACTGTATTCCTTCCCTATGTTTTCAATTCCAATCAATTCCAAACCATTCCATTTGAGTCAAATCCTTTCAATTCCATTTATGTCCATTCCATTGCATTCCATTCCATTCAAGTCTCTTCCATTCTATTACATTCAAGTCCATTCAATTCCATTTCATTTGATTCCATTCCATTGCATTCCATTGCATTCTATTCCATTACATTCCTTTCCATTAGAGTCCATTCCATTAAATTCCATTGTATTCCATTCGAGTGTACTCCACTCCATTCTGTTCCATTCATGTACTTTGCATTCCATTTGAGTCCATTCCATTCCAATCCTTTTATGTCCATTCCATTCCATTCATTCTTTTCCTTTCAAATCCATTGAATTCCATGCCATACCATTCCATTCCATTCCATTCCATTCAGGTCCAATCCTTTGCATTCCATTCGAGTCCATTCCAATCCTTTCGAGTCCATGACATTCCATTCCATTCCACTCGAGACATTTCCAATCCATTCCAATCGAGTCCATTCCTATCCATTTCATTCGAGTCCATTACAATAAATTCCATACCATTCGATTCCATTGCATTCCATTGCTTTCGGGTCCATTCCTTTCCATTCCATTCCATGCCTTTCTGTTCCATTAGATTCCATTGCATTCGAGTCCATTCCATTCCATTCCACACCATTCGAGACCATTCGAATCCTTTACATTCCAGTCGAGTCTTTTCAATTCCATTCCATTAGAGTCCATTCCATTCCATTGGAGTTCATTACATTCCATTCCATTCTAGTTAGTCTATTCCTTTCCTTCCCATTCAACTCCTTTCCATTCCGTTCCGTTCCGTTCCATTCCATTCGAGTACATTCCATTTGGTTGCATTCCATTGCATTCCATTCGAGTCCATTCGACTCCTCTCCATATGAGTCCATTCCATTCCATTCGAGTCCATTCCATTCCTTGGCATTCGTGTCTATTCCATTCCATGCTATTCCATTTCATTCCATTTCATTCAATTCCATTTGATTAAATTCCATTCTATTCCATCACATTCGAGTAAATTCCATTCCATTCCATTCATTCCATTCCTTTCCATTTCAAAACATATCATTCCATTACGTTCCATTCCATTCTGGTTCATTCCATTACGTTACATTCCATTCCATTCAAGTCCGTTCAATGCCATTCAATTCCATACGTGTCCATTGAAATCCATTCCATTCGAGTCCATTCCATTCCATTCGAGTGCATTCCATTCCATTGCATTTGAGTCCATTCCGTTCCATGCTATTCCATTTGAGTCCATTCCATTCCATTCCATTCCAGTCCAGTCCATTCCAAACTCATTACATTCCAGTCTGTTATATGCTATTACATTATTTTCCATTCCATTGCATTCTATTCCATTTGAGCCCATTCCATTCCCTTCCATTCCATTCCACTCGAGGCCATTCCATTCCATTCCATTCGAGTCCATTCCATTCCTTTCCATTCGATTCTATTCCATTCAATTCCATTCGAATCAATTCCATTCCATTCCATTTGAGTCCATTTCTTTGCATTCCATTTCATTATGGTCCATTCCATTGTATCCCTTTCGAGGCCATTCTATTCCATTCCATTCCATTCCTTTTGAGTTGATTCAATTCCGTTCCATACAATTCAAGTACATTCCATTCCATTCCTTTCCGTTCCGTTCCACTGCATTGGAGTACATTCCATATGGTTCCATTCCACTGCTTTCCATTCGAGTCCATTTGACTCCACTCCATTCGAGTCCTTTCCGTTCCATTCGAGTCCATTCCATTCCGTTGCATCGAGTCCATTCCATTCCATGCTTTTCCATTTCAGTCCATTCCATTGCATTTCATTCGAGTAAATTCCTTTCCATTCCATCCCATTCGAGTAAATTCCATGCCATTCCATTCAATTCCCTTCATTCCATTCCTTTCCATTCCAGTACATTTGATTCCATTACGTTCCTTTCCATTCGGGTTCATTCCATCCCGTTACATTCCATTCCATTCGAGTCCATTCAATGCCATTCCATTCCATACGATTCCATTCAAATCCATTCCATTCGAGTCCGTTCCAATCCATTCAAATGCATTCCATTCCATTGCGTTTGAGTCCATTCCATTCCATGCTATTCCGTTTGAGTCCATTCAATTCAATTCCATTCAATTCCAGTCGAGTCCATTCCAAACACATTGTATTCCAGTCTATTCTATTCCATTACATTCTTTTCCATTCCATTCCATTCCTTTCCATTCGGTATTATTCCATTCATTTCCATTAGCATCAATTCCATTGCATTCCATTTGAGTCCATTCCATTTCACTCCGTTGCATTAAAGTCCATTCCATTGGAGTTCATTCCACTCTATTAAATTCGAATCCTTTGAAGTCCATTAAATTCCCTTCATTCTATTGCATTCAAATCCATTCCATTCCATACCATACCATTCCATTCCATTCCTTTCCATTCCGTTCGGGTCCATTCCTTTCCATTCCGTTCGAGTCCATTCCATTCCTTTTGAGTCCATTCCATTCCACTCCTTTCCAGTCCATTCCATTCCATTCATTCTATTCCATTCAAATCCATTCCATTCCATACAACACGATTCCATTCCATTCCATTCAATTCCATTCGAGTCAATTTCATTCCATTCTATTTGAGTCCATTCTGTTGCATTCCATTGCATTCGAGTGCATTCCATTCCGTTCCATTCCATTTCATTCGAGTCCATTCCAGCGTATTCCATCCCAATATTTTCGAGTCCATTCAATTCCATTCCATTCCACTTGATTCAATTCCATTCCATTCCATTTGAGTCCATTTCATACCATTTCATTCCATTCGAGTCTCCTTAATTCTATTCCGTTCAAGTCAACTCCGTTCCATTTCATGCAGTTACATTTCAGTCCTTTCCATTCCATTCCATTCAAGTAAATTCCATTCCATTCCATTCCATTTGAGTAAATTCCATTCCATTCCATTCCATTGCATTCCATTCCAAACTCATTACATTCCAGTCGATTCTATTCCATTTCATTCTTTTCCATTCCATTCCATTCCATTCCATTCCATTCCATTTCTTTTGGGCCCATTCCATTCCATTCCATTCCACTCCATTCCAAACTCATTCCATTACATTCCATTACATTCCTTTCTTTTCCATTCCATTCCATTCCATTGCATTCCATTCGAGTCCATTCCATTCCATTCCATTCGAGTCCATTCCATTCCATTGCATTCCATGCGGGTCCATTCCATTAAATTCTATTGCATTCCACTCCATTCCATTCCATTCCAATCCCTTCGGTGCCATTCCATTCCATTCCTTTTGATTCCATTCCTTCCATTCAACTCCATTCAATTACATTCCATTCCCTTCCTTTCCATTCCATTCCATTGCATTCCATTCAATACCATTCTATTCCATTTGAGTCCATTTCATTTCACTCTATTCAACTCCTCTCCATTCCATTCTATTCCATTCCACTCCATTATCTCCATGCCATTCAGGTCCATTACATAATATTCCTTTCGAATGGATTCCATTATACTCGAGTCAATTCCATTCCATTCCATTCCATTCGAGCATCTTCCATTCTATTCCATTCAAGTACATTCCATTCCATTCCATTAGAGTCCATTCCATTAAATTTCATTGCATTCCATTCGAGTTCTTTCCATACCATTCCTTTCCATTCATGTCCATTCCATTCCATTCGAGTCCATTCCAGTTCTTTCAAATCTATTCATTCAAATCCATTCCATTCCATACCATACCATACCATTCCATTCCATTCCATTCCATTCCATTCCATTCCATTCCATTGCATCCCATTCTGGTCCATTTCTTTCCATTCTATTCGAATCTATTCCATTCCATTCGAGTCCATGATATTCCATTCCTTTCCACTCGACAATATTCATTTCCATTGTATTCTGGTCCATTCCTATCCATTCCATTCGAATTCATTCCAATACATTCCACACATTTGATTCCATTGCATCCCTATCCATTCCATTCGGGTCCATTCCATTCCATTCCTTTCCATTCCTTTCGGTTCCATTCCATTCCATTCCATTCGAGTCCTTTCGATTCCATTCCATCCCATTTGAGGCCTTTGTATTCTATTCCATTCCAGTCGAGTCCCTTCCATTCCATTCCATTCTTTTCAAGTCCATTCCATTCCGTTGGAGTTCATTCCATTATATTCCATTCGAGTCCATTCCATTCCATTTCATTCCTTTTGAGTCCATTCATTCCTGTTCCATAAAATTTGATAGCATTCCATTCTATTCCAATCCATACCATTCCATTAGATTCCATTCCATTCCGTTCCATTGGAGTCCATTTCATTCCATTCCATTCGTGTCCATTCTGTACCATTATATTCCGATCTATTCAAATCCATTCAATTCCATTGCATTCCATTCGAATCCATTCCTCTCCTTTCCACTGGAGTCCATTCTATTCCATTCCATTCAACTAGAGTGCATTCCAGTTCATTTGAGTCCATTTCATTGCATATCATTCGAGTCCATTCCATTCCATTCAGTTCCATTCCATTCCATTCGAGTAAATTCCAATCCATTCCATCCCATTAGAGTAAATTCCATTCCATTCCATTCCATTGCATTCCATTCCTCTCCAGTCCATTTTAAACTCATTACATTCCAGTCCATTCCATTCCATTCCATTCCATTCCATTCAATTCCATTTGAGCCTAGTCCATTCCATTCCATTCCTTTCCAGTCGAGTCCATTCCATTCCATTCCATTCCATTCCATTCCATTCAATTCCATTTTAGCCTAGTCCATTCCATTCCATTCCTTTCCAGTCGAGTCCATTCCATTCCATTTCATTCCATTCCATTCCATTCCATCCTATTCCATTCCTTTCCATTCGAGTCCATTCCATCCATTCCATACCATACCAATACATTCCATTCCATTCCATTCCATTCCACTCCATTCCATTCGAGTACATTCCTTTCAGTTCCATTCCATTGCATTCCATTCGACTCCACTCCATTCGAGTCCGTTCCTTTCCGTTCCTTTCCATTATGTAAAATTCCATTCCGTTCCATTCCATTCGAGTACATTCCTTTCAGTTCCATTGCATGGCATTCCATTCGAGTCCACTTGACTCCACTCCACTCGAATCTATTCCGTTCCATTCGAGTCCTTTCCATTTCATTGCTTTCGAGTCCATTCCATTCCATTCTATTAAATTTCAGTGCATTCCATTCCATTCCATTCGAGTAAATTCCATTCCATTCCATCCCATTTGCGTAAATTCCATTCCTTTACATTCCATTGCAGTCCATTCCAAAGTCATTATATTATAGTCCATTCTATTAAATTCCATTCTTTTCCATTCCATTCCATTTAAGCCCTGTCCATTCCATTCCGTCCCACTCCATTCCATTCCATTGCATTCCACTCCATTCAGTTCCATTCCATTCAATTCTATTCGAGTCAATTCCATTCCATTCCATTTGAGTCAATTCCATTGCAATCCATTGCATTCGAGTCCATTCCATTCCATTCTATTCGAGTCCTTTCCACTGTATTCCATCCCAATCCTTTCATATCTATTCAATTCCATTCCATTCCATTTGTGTCAATTCCATTCCATTCCATTTGAGTCCATTCCATTGCATTCGATTTCTTTCGAGTCTCTTTCATTCTATTCCATTCACGTCCATTGCATTCCATTCCATTTGAGACCATTCCATTAAATTCCATTTTATTCCATTCGAGTTCATTCCATTATATTCCGTTCCCTTCATGTCCATTCCATTCCATTCGAGTCCATTCCATTCCAATCCATTTGAGTCCATTCCATTCCATTCATTGTAGTCCATTCAAATACATTCGATTCCATACCATACCATTCCATTCTGGTCCATTTCTTTCCATTCCTTTCCATTCCTTTCGAGTCCTTTCCATTCCTTTTCATTCCAATACATTCCATCCCATTACACTCGAGTCCATTCCATTCCATTCCATTCTGGTCCATTCCTATCCATTCCATTCGAGTCCTTTCCAATACATTCCATCCCATTCGATTCCATTCCATTCCATTCCATTCGATTCCATTCCATTCCATTGCATTCCATTCGGGTCCATTCCATTCTATTCCATTCCATTCCTTTCGGTTCCATTCAATTCAATTCCATTCGAGTCCATTCCATTCCATTCCATCCCTTTCGAGGCCATTCTATTCAATTCCATTCCAGTCAAGTCCTTTCCATTCCATTCCATTCTTTTCGAGTCCATTCCATTCCGTTGGAGTTCGTTCCATTCCATTCCATTTGAGTCCATTCCATTCCATTCTTTTCTAGTCCATTCAATTCCATTCCATACAATTCGAGTATATCCCATTCCATACCATTCCATTACCATCCATTCAATTCCATTCGAGTCCATTCCTTTCCATTCCATTCGAGTCCATTTCATTCCATTCCAATCTATTCGTGTCCATTCCATGCCATTACATTCCGTTTTATTCAAGTTCATTCAATTCCCTTCCATTCCATTCGAATCCATTCCACTCCTTTCTGTTGGAGTCCATTCTACTCCATTCCATTCAACTAGAATCCATTCTAATTCATTCGAGTCCATTCCATTGCATATCATTCGAGTCCATTCCGTTCCATTCCATTCCATTCCATTCCATTCCATTCCAAAGTCCTTTCCAATCCGTTCTGTTCCGTTCCATTCCGTTCTGCTCCATTCCATTCAATTCCATTCCTTTCGAGGACTTTGCATTCGGTTCCATTCCATTGCATTCCATTCGAGCCCATTCAACTCCACTGCATTCGAGTCCTTTCCGTTCTATTCGGTTCCATTCCATTCCATTGCATTCGAGTCCATTCCGTTCCATGCTATTCCATTTCAGTCCATTCCATTCCATTCTATTCCATTCGAGTAAATTCCATTATATTCCATCCCATTTGTGTAAATTCCATTACATTCAGTTCCGTTCCGGTCCGTTCAATTCCGTTTCATTCCATTCCATTCCTTTCCATTCGAGTACATTCCATTCGGTTCCATTCCATTGCATTCCATTTGAATCCATTCGACTCCACTCCATTCAAGTACATTCCGTTCCATTCGAGTCCATCCCATTCCATTGCATTCGAGTCCATTCCATTCCATGCTACTCCATTTCAGTCCATTCCATTCCATTCGATTCGAGTAAATTGCATTCCTTTGCATCCCATTCGAGTAAATTCCATTTCATTCCATTCCATTCCATTCCATTCCATTCCAGTCCAAACTCTTTAAATTCCAGTCCATTCTATTCCGTTCCATTCCTTTCCATTCCATTCCTTTCTATTTGGGCCCAGTCCATTCCTTTCCATTCCATTCGAGTCCATTCCATTTCATTCCATTCCATTCCATTACTTTCGTGTCCATTCAATTGCATTTCATTCCATCTGAGTCCATTCCATTCCATTAATGTCAATTTAATTCCATTACATTCCTTTCCATTTGAGTCCACTCCATCCTAATTCATTACATTCGATTCGAGCCTATTCAATTCATTTCCATTCCATTCGAGTCCATTCAATTCCTTTACATTCAACTCCATTCCATTCCATTCCATTCCATTCCATTCGTTTCCGTTTCATTACATTACATTACACTCCACTGGAGTTGCTATTCCATTCCACACTTTCGAGTTCATTTCACTCTAGTCCATTCGAGTGCATTCCATTCCATTCCATTTTATTCGACTCGATTCCATTCAATTCGAATTCGTTCCATTCCATTCATGTCCATTCCATTCCATTCCAATTGCGTCCAATCCATTTCATTTCATTCCATTCCATTCCATTCCATTCCATTCCATTCCAGTCGAGTCCATTCCATTCTTTTCCATTCGAGTCCATTCCATTCCATTCGAGTCCATTCCATTCCATTCCGTTCCGTTCCGTTACACTCAATTCCATTCCATTCCATTCCGTTCAAGACCATTGCATTCCATCTGAGTCCATTCCATTGTATTCGTGTTCATTCCATTCCATTCCACTCCTTTCAAATCCATTCCATTCCCTTCCATTCCTTTCGAGACCATTCAATTCAATTTTATTCCGTTTGTGTCCATTCCATTCCACTCCATTCCATTTCATTCAAGTCCTTTCTATTCCGTTACATTCCATTGCATTCGAGTCCACTTACTTCCATTCCACTCCATTCCATTCGACTCCATTCCATTATTTTCCATTCGGGTCCATACCATTCCATTTCATTCGAGACAATTCCATTCGATTCCGTTCCAGTCCATTCCATTCCATTCCATTCTATTACATTGTAGTCTATTCCATTCCATTCCATTCTATTACATTGTAGTCTATTCCATTCCATTCCATTCCATTCCATTCCATTCCATTCCATACCTTTCAGGTGCATTCCATTCCATTACTTTCGAGTCCATTCCATTCCATTCCTGTCCATACCATTCCCTTCCATTTCATTTCACTCGAGTCCCTTCCATTGCTTTCATTCCACTCGAGTCTCTTCCATTGCTTTCATTCCATTCGAGTCCAGTCCATTTTATTCCATTCTATTCTGTACCATTACATTCCATTAGAGTCCATTCCATTAAATTCCATTGTATTCCGTTCGAGTCCATTCCATTCCATTCAATTCCATTCCATTCCATTTGAGTCCATTCCTTTCCATTCCATTTCATTCGGGTCCATTCTATTCCATTCCGTTCAAGTCCATTCCACTCCGCTGTATTTCATTCAAGTACAGTCCATTTCATTCCATTCCATTCCATTCCATTCTATTCCTTTCAGGTCCATTCCATTCCATTGAAGTCCTTTCCATTCCTTTCAATTCCATTCGTGTCCATTCCATTCCATTCCATTCCAGTCCATTCCATTCCATTCCATTCCCGTCCATTCCATTCCATTCCATTCGAGTCCATTCCGTTACCTACCTTTTGAGTCCATTCGTTTTCATGCCATTCATTTCAAGTAAATTCCAGTCCATTCCATTCCATTCTATTCCATTCCATTCCAACACATTCGATTCCAGTTCATTCCATTCCCCTCCATTTCATTCCATTGCAATCCATTCCATTTGAGTCCATTCCATAACATTACGTTCCGTATGATTCACGTCCATTCAATTCCATTCCATTCCATTCCATTCCATTCCATTCCATTCCATTCCATTCAATTCCACTGCTTTCTATTCGAGTCCATTCCACTCAAATCCATTTCATTCCATTCGGGTCCATTCCATTCTGTTCCATTGGAGTCCATTCCATTCCATTCCTTTCCATTCAAGTCCATTCCATTCTATTCCATTTCATTTGAGTAAATTTCATTCCTTTCCATTCCGTTCCCGAATATTTTATTCCATTCGACTCCATTCCATTCCATTCGAGTCCATTCCATTCCATTCCATTAAAATCCATTCCATTACGTTAAATTCCTTTCAGTCCATTCCCTTCCATTCGAGTCCATTCCATTCCATTTCATTCCATTCCATTACATTACAATACATTCCATTCCATTACATTCCTTTTGAATCCATTCAATTTAACTGCATTCCGTTTGAGTCCATTCCATTCCATTCTATTCCACTCCAATCCATTCCATTCGATTCCATTTTATTCCATTACATTCCTTTCCTTTCGTGTCCAATTCCATTCCATTACATTCAAGTCCATTCCATTCCATTCAATTCGAGTCCATTCCATTCCTTTCCAGTCAATTCCATTCCATTATATTCCATTCCATTCGAATCCTTTCAATTGGATACAATTCTAGTCCAATCCGATCCATTCCATTAGAGTCTATTCCTTAAATTCTATTGCATTCCTGTTGAGTCCATTCCATTAAATTCCATTCCACTCGTGTCCATTGAATTCCAATCGAGTCCTTTCAATTCCATTCCATTCGAGTCCATTCCATACCGTTCGTTTCCATTCGAGTCGATTATATTCCATTCCATTCCAGTGCATTCCATTCAATTTGGTAATATTTCATTCCATTCTATTGGAGCCCATTCCATTCCATTCGAGTCCGCTCCATTCCATTCCATTGGAGTACATTGCACTCCATTATAGTCGAGTACATTCCATTCAATTCCATTCCAACCGAGTCCACTCCATTCCATTCCATTCGAGTCCATTCAATTCCCTTTGAGTCCATTCCGTTCCATTCCATTCGAGTCCATTACATTCGAGTCCATTCCATTCCATTCCAATCCACTCAATTCCTTTCGAGTCACTTCAATTCAATTGCGTTCCATTCGATTTGATTCCATTCCTTTCCATTCCATTCCATTCCTTTCGAGTCCATTTCTTTGCATTACATTGCATTCAATTCCATTCCATTCCATCTCATTCCATTCCATTCGAGTCCAGTTCTTTGCATTACATTCTATTCCATCCGAGTCTTTGCAATTCCATTCCATTCCATTCCAATCGAGTCCATTCCATTCAATTCCTTTCCATTCCATTCGAGTCGATTCCATTCCATTCCATTTTTGTGCATTCCATGCCACTCAATTCCATTGGTGTCCCTCCCATTCCATTCAATTCGAACCTATGGTATTTCAACCTATTCGATTCCATTTTATTCCAATACATTCCTTTCAATTCCATTCCATTCTGTTCCTTTCGTGTCCATTCCATTCCATTCGAGTCAACTGCATTTCATTCCAATGTGTTCCATATGTGTCCATTCCATTTCATTGCATTCCATTCCATTGCATTCCATTCCGTTCCATTTAATTTGGTTCCATTCCGTTCCATTTCATTGCATTCCATTCCATTGCATTCCATTCCGTTCCATTTAATTTGTTTCCCTTCCATTCCATTCCTTTCAGGTACATTTAATTTCATTCGAGTACATTCCATTCCATTATCTTCGAGTCCATTCCACTGCATTCCAATCGAGTCCATCCCATAACATTCCAATCGAGTCCATACCTATATGTTCCATTCTATTCCAATCCATTCCATTCTATTCCATTCCAGTACTCTCCATTCCATTCCATTAAAGTCCATTCATTAAATTCGATTCCATTCTATTAGAGTCCATTCCTTTCCATACTATTGATGTTCATTCCATTCCATTCGAGTCCATTCCATTCCATTCCAAACCATTCTAAATGATTGCATTCTATTCTATTCCATTCCATTCCATTTGAGTCCACTCCATTCCATTCCATTCTATTCCATTGGGATCCACTCCATTCTATTCGAGTCCATTCCATTCCATTCCATGTGGGTCCATTAAATTTCATTCAAGTCCATTCACTTCCATTCCATTCTTTTGAGTCCATTCCATTCCATTTCCTTCCATTTGATTCCATTCTATTCCATTTCCTTCCATTTGATTCCATTCCATTCCATTCCATTCCATTCCATTCCATTCCATTCGAGTCTGAGTCCATTCCATTCCATTCCATTTGTGTCCGTTCCGTTCGAGTCAATTCCATTCCATTCCAAACACTTCAATTCCTTTCGAGTCCATTCATTTCAATTGCATTCCATTCAAGGCCATTCCATTCCATTCCATTCCATTTTTGTCCATTCCATTCGAGTCAATTCCATTCCATTCCAAACACTTCCATTCCTTTCGAGTCCATTCATTTCAATTGCATTCCATTCAAGGCCATTCCATTCCATTTCATTCCATGCGAATCCATTCTTTTCCATTCCATTCCATTACATTACATTTCATTCCATTACATTATATTCCATTCTAGTCCATTCCAATCCGTTACATTTAATTCCATTTGAATCCTTTCAATGGCATTCCATTCCTTTCGATTCCATTCCATTCATGTCCATTCCATTCCATTCTGTTCCATTCAAGTCCATTCCATTTGAGTCCTTTCCATTGCATTCCATTCACGCCCATTACATTCAATTCCATTCCATTCCATTTGAGTCCATTCCAATGCATTTCATTCGAGTCCATTCCATTCCATTCTATTCCATTTGAGTCAATTCGTTTCCATTCCATTCGAGTACATTCCATTTCAACCCATTCGAGTTCTTTTCATTCCAATCCATTCCATTTGATTCCATTCCTTTCTATTCCATTCGAGTCCATTCCATTTCATTCCATTGTCTTCCATTCGAGTCCATTCTATTCCATTGCATTCATGTCCATTCCATTCTATTGCAGTCCATTCCTTTCCATTCAATTCGAGTCCATTCCATTCTATTCTATTCCATTTGTGTCCTTTCCATTCCATTCAATTCCATTCGAGTCTATTCCATTCCATTCCTTTCAAGTCCACTCCATTACATTCTATTCTTTTGCGTCCATTCCTTTCCGTTCCATTTGATTCCATTCCATTGCATACCATTGCATTTCTTTTGAGCCCATTCAATTCTATTCCATTCCCTTTGAGGCCATTCCATTCGAGTCTATTCGTGTCCACTTCGTTATATTCCTTTCCATTCGAGCCCATTCCATTCTAATCCATTGGAGTACTTTTCATTCCATTCCTTTAGAGTCCATTCCATTAAATTCCATTGTTTTCAATTCGGGTCCTTTCCATTCAATTCCATTCCTTTCCATTCCATTCAATTTCATTTCATTCAAGTCCATTCCATTGATTACCATTCTTTCCATTCCATTCAATTCCATTCGAGAACATTTCATTCCATTCCATTCGAGTCCATTTCATTCCTTTTCATTCTTTTCAATTCCAGTACATTCCATTCCATTCCATTGGAGTCGGTTCTATTCCACTTTATTGTTTTCCATTGGGGTCCATTCCATTCCATTCCATTCGAGTCCATTCCATTCCTTTCTTTTCCACTTGACTAGTTTCCATTCTATTTCATTCCATTCGTTTCCATTCCATTCCATTCGACTTCATTCCTCTCCATTCTGTTCGACTCCATTATATTCCATTCCACTCCAATCCATGCCATTCCTTTCTGGTCCAATCAATTCCAATCCATTCCATTCGAGTCCATTCAATCCCTTTCCATTCCATTCCATTTGAGTCCTTTCCATTCCATTCCATTCCATTCGAGTAAATTTCATTCCAAACTTTCCATTCCATTCGGGTCTTTTCCATACCATAATATTCCATTCTATTCGAGTCTATTGAATTCCATTCCATTCCATTCGAGTCCATTCCTTTCTTATCCATTCAGTCAATTTTTCCGTTTCATTCCATTCCATTCCATTTCATTCCATTGTCTTCCCTTCCATTCTCTTCCTCTCCATTCCATTATATTCCGTTCCACTTAATTCCATTCCATTATATTCGAGTCTATTCCATTCCTTTTCATTCGAGTCCATTCCATTCCAGTACATTCCATTACCCTCGAGTTAATTTCATACATTTCCATTCCATAGGATTTCTTTCTCTTCCATTCGAATCCATTCCATTCCATTCCTTTTGAGTGTGTTCCATTCAATTCCATTCCATTCGAGTCCATTCCACTCCATTCCATTCTATTTGAGTCCATTCCATTCCATTCCATTTGTGTCCATTCCTGTCAATTCCATTCTAGTCAATTCCATTTGATTCCATTCGAGTCCATTCCATTGGAGTCCATTACATTCCATTAAATTCGAGTACATACCATTGCATTCCATTCTATTCTTTTCGAGTCCATTCAATTCCATTCCATTACTTTCGACTCCATTCCATTGCATTCCATTGGATTCCATTCTATAAAATTACATTATATTCCTCTCCATTCCATTCCATTCGTGTCCATTCCATTCCATTCGAGTCCATTCCATCCCATTCGTTTCTAGTACATTCCTTCCCAATACATTTTATTCCATTCCATCCTTTTCATTACATACTATTGCATTCCATTCCTATGAATTCTATTCCCTTCCATTCCATTCAGGTCCATTCCATTCCATTCGTGGCCATTCCATTCCATTCCAATCCATTCCATTCCACTCGATTTCAGTCCATTGCATTCTATTCCATTCGAGTCCATTCCGCTCTATTCCATTCCATTCTGTTCCTTTTGGATTCATTCCGTTTCATTCCATTCCATTCAAGTACATTCCTTTTCATTCCATTCAAGTCCGTTCCATTCCATTTCATTCCAGTCGAGTCGTTTCATTTCCATTCCATTCCATTCGAGTCCATGCCACTCCAATCGAGTCCGTTCCGTTCCATTCAAGTCCATTCCATTCGATTCCATTCCATTCCATTCATTTTGAGTTCATTCGATTCCTTTCCATTCCACTCGAGTCCATACCATTCTAATCCGTTAGGGTCCATTAAATTCCATTCCATTAGCGTCCATTGCAATAAATTCCATTCCACTCTATTAGAGGCCATTCTACGCAATTAGAATCCATTCCATTACATGCCCTTCGAGTCAATTCCATTCCTTACCATAATATTCCATTCAAGTCCATTCCATTCCATTCCAATCCATTCCACTCTATTGCATTCCATTCCATTCCATTCAACTCGGGTCCATTCCATTCCATTCCATTCCATTCTGTTCCATTTAGTTACATTCACGTACATTCCATTCTATTCCAGTCGAGTCCATTCCTTTGAATTCCATTCTATTCATTTCGTCTCCATTCTATTCCATTCCATTCGAGTCCATTCTATGCCTTTCCATTTGAGCCCATTCCATTCCATTCCATTCATGGCTATTCCATTATATTCCACTCCATTCGAATCCATTCCATTCTGTTCCACTCGAGTCCATTCCATTAGATTCCATTCATTAAATTGCATTCCATTCCATTCGAGTTCATTCCATTCCATTTGAGTCCATTCCTTTCCATTGCATTCCATTCGAGTTGATTCCATTCCATTCCATTCCGTTCCATTCCATTCCATTCCATTACATTACATTTCATTCCAGTAGAGTCCATTGCATTCCATTCCATTCTATTCCATTTTGGTCCATTCCATTCCATTCAAGTCCAATCCATTCCATTCAAGTCCATTCCATTCCATTTGAGTCTATTCCATTCCACTCTGTTATATTCGAGTTCATACCATTCCATTCCATTCGAGCCATTCCATTTAATTTAATTTGATTCCGTTCCATTGTAGTCCAATCCATTCCATTCCAATCCTTTCCGTTCCGTTCGATTGCATTCAATTCAATTGCATTCCATTCGAGTCCATTCCATTCCATTCTATTCCATTTGAATCTAATCCATTCCATTACCTTCCATTTGAGTCCATTCCTTTCCATTCCATTCCATTCCATTCCATGCAAGTCCGTTCCATTCTGTTACTATACATGCCATTTGAGTCCATTCCATTCCACTCCATTGCATTCATTTGCATTCCATGCTATTCCATTCTGGCCCATTCCATTCCATTACATTCAAGTTCATTCCATTTCATTCCATTCTATTCCATTCGAGTCCATTCCATTCCATTTCATTCCTTTCAAGTCCATTCCATTCCATTCAATTCCATTCGAGTCCGTTCCATTGTATTCCATTTGACTACTTTCCATTCCATTTGAGTCCATTCGATTCCATTTGTGCAAATTCCATTCCATTATATTTGTCTCCATTCTATTCCATTTGAGTCCATTCCATTCCACTCCATTCGAATCCATTCCATCCCATCACATTCCATTCGAGTCCACTCCATGTCATTCCATTCTAATCCATTCCATTTCATTGCATTCATTTCCATTCCATTCCATTCCATTCATTTCCATTCCATTCCATTCCATTCCATTCCATTCCATTCCATTCCATTCCATTCTATTCCATATGCGTCCATTCTATTTCATTCAATTCCATTTGAGTCCATTCTGTTCCACTCCATTCTAGTCCAGTCCATCCGATCACATTGCATTCGAGTCCACTCCATGTCATTCCATTCTAATCCATTCCATTCTATTCCATTCCTTTCCATTCCATTCCATTCCATTCTATTCCATTTGCGTCCATTCTATTTCATTCGAGTTCATTCCATTCCATTTGATTCCATTATATACCATTCCATTTGAATCCATTCCATTTTGTTCCATTCGAGTCAATTCCATTCCATTCCATTCCTTTTGAGTCTATTCCATTCCATTACATTCCATTTGTGTCCATTCAATTGCATTCCATTCGAGTCCCTTCCATTCCATTCTATTCCATTGGAATCCATTACATACCATTCCATTAGGGTCCATTCCAATCTATTCCATTCGAGTCCTTTCCATTCCATTCTATTCCATTCGTGTCATTTACTTTCTATTGTAGTCCATTCCATTCCATTCCTTTTGAATTCATTCCATTTCATCCCTTTCAATTCCCTTGTAGTCCATTCCAATCCATACGATTCCATCCCATCCCATTCCATTCCATTCCATTCGTGTCCATTCCATTCATTTTGCACTCCATTCCTTTCAACTCCATTTCATTCCATTCCACTCCATTCAATTCGCGTCCATGGGATTCCATTCTAGTCCATTCCATTCTATTACATTCCAATCCATTCCATTCTATTCCTTTCAAGTCCATTCCATTCCATTCCATTCCATTGCATTGCAGTGCAGTCCGTTCACTTCCAATCCATTCCATACGTGTCGATTCCATTACATTATATTCTAGTCAATTCCATTGCCTTCCATTCCATTCCGTTCCATTCCACTCCTTTCTATTCCATTCCATTCCATTCCATTCCTTTCCATTCCATTCGTGTAGATTCCATTCCATTCCATTCAAGTCCATTCCATTCCATTCGATTACATTACATTTGAGTCCATTCCAATCCATTCCATTCCGTTAGAGTCCATTTGAGTCCATTCCATTCAATTTGGGTCCATTACACTCTATTACATTCGAGTGAATTCCATTCCATTCCATTCTAGTCCATTCCGTTGCATTCCATTCCATTAACTTCCATTCCATTCTATTCCATTCGAATGTATTCTATTCCATTCCATTAGCTTCCATTCTGTTAGAGTCAGTTCTATTAATTTCCATTCCATTGCATTCTAGTCCATTCCATTCCATTCGAGTACATTCCTTTATGTTCGCTTCGAGTCCATTCCATTACATTCCCTTCAAGTCCATTCCATTCCATTAGTGTCTGTTCCATTGCGTTCCATTCGAGTAAATTCCATTCCATTGGATTCCATAGCATTCCATTAAATTCGAGTCCCTTCCGTTCCACTCCTTTCCATTCGATTCCATTCCGTGCTATTCCATTCTGGCCGATTCCATTCCATTCCATTCGAGTCCATTCAATTTCATTCCATTCTATTCCATTCTAGTCCATTCCATTCCATTTCATTCCTTTGAGTCCATTCCATTCCATTCCATTCAAGTCCGTTCCATTGTATTCCATTCGAGTACTTTCCATTGCATTCGAATCCATTCGACTCCATTCGAACCAATTCCATTCCATTACATTTGACTCCATCGTATTCCATTCTAATCCATTTGAGTCCATTCCATTCCAATCTATTCGTGTCCGTTCCATCCCATCTCATTCCATTCGTGTCCACTCCATGTCATTCCATTCGAATCCATTCTATTCCATTCAATTCGAGTCCATTCCATTATATTTCATCAGAGTTCATTCTATTACAATTAATTACATTCGAGTTCATTCCATTCAATTCCATTCGTGTGAATTCCATTACATTCCTTTTAAGTCCATTCCATTTCATCCCATTCCATTCCATTCCATTCGTGACCATTCCATTCCATTCCATTCCATTATTTTCCATTCCATTCTATTCCATTTGTGTCCATTCCATTCACTTCCATTACATTCGAGTCCATTTCACTCTTCCATTGCATTCCATTCCACTCCGTTTGATTCCACTCCTGTCCATTCCATTGCAATTCATTCCATTCGACTCCATTCCATTCTTTTCCATTCGCGTCCATTCCACTCCATTACATTCGAGTCCATTCCACTCTATTTCATAGCATTCGAATCCTTTCATTGCAATTCCATACGCCTCAATTCCATTCCATTCCATTTGAATGGATTCCATTCCATTCCATTTGAATGGATTCCATTCCATTCCATTTGAATGGATTCCATTCCATTCCATTCCGTTTTACTATATTGGATTCCATTCAATTCTCTGCCATTTGAGTCCCTTCAATTCTATTCGAGTCCATTCCATTGCATTCCACTCAAGTCCATTCGAGTCCATTCCATTCCATTCCTTTTGAGACCATTCAATTCCATTAAATTCCATTCGAGTCCATTAAATTCCATTCCATTCCATTCGATTCCATTACACTCCGTTCCATTCGAGTCCATTCCATTCCACTCCATTACATTGGAATCCATTCCATTCTATTCCATTTGAATCCGTTCCATTCTATTCCATTCGGTTGAGACAATACCATTCCTTACTATTCCCCTAGAGTCCATTCCATTCCATTGGAGTCCATTCCATTCCATTGCATTCGAATCCATTCCGTTGCACTCTATTTCATTTGATTCCATTCAATTCCGTTCCATTAGAGTCCATTCCATTCCATTTCATTTGAGTCCATTCCATTATATTCCATTCGTTTCCATTCTATTCCGTTTGAATCCATTCATTTCCATTCGAGCCAATTCCTTTCCATTATATTCGAGTCCATTCTATTCCATCCAATTCCATTTTAGTCAATTCCATTCCATTCCATTCCATTAAAGACCCTCCAATCCCAACCCATTCCATTCGAGTAAATTCCATGTTATTTGATTCGAAACGATTCCATTCCATTCTTTCCTTTCGAATTAATTCCATTCCATTTCATTCGAGTCCACTCCATTATATTTAGCTCCATTCCTGTCCATTCCATTCAATTCCATTTTAATCCATTCCATTCCATTCCATTTGAATCCATTCATTGCATTCCATTCCATTCCATTCGAGATCATGCCATTCCATCACATTCCATTCCATTTGAGTCCATTCATTTCCATTCCATTCCATTTGATTCCATTCCATTCCATTTCATTCCACTCGAGTCCTTTCAATTCCGTTCCATTCAATTCCATTCGATTCCATTCAATTCCATTCCATTTGTGTCAATTCCATTCCATTCCATTCTATTCGTGTGCATTCCAATCCATTCGAGTCCATTTGATTCCTTTCCATTCCATTCCATGAGTCCATTCCATACCATTATATTCCATTCGATTTAAGTTCATTAAATTCCTTTCCATTCGATTCAAGTCCATTGCATTCCATTGCATTTGAGTCCATTCCATTCAATTCCATTCTATTCGAGTCCATTCCTTTCTATTGCATTCAAGTCATTTCCATTCCATTACATTCGATTGTATTCCATTCCTTGCCATTCCATTTCACTCGAGCCGTTTCCATTGCATTCCATTCCATTTGAGTCCATTCCATTCAATTCGAGTCCATTCCATGCCATTCCATTCGAGTCCATTCCATTTCATTCCGTTCTAATCCATTCCATTCCATTCAATACCATTCCGTTACTTTTGAGTCCATTTCATTGCATTCCATTTGAGTCCATTCCTTTCCTTTCCATTCCATTAGACTCCATTCCATTATATTCCATTCTAGTCCATTGCATTCCATTCCATTCGAGTCTGTTTCATTCCACTCCATTCTATTCCATTCGAGTCAGTTCCATTCCATTCCAGTGCATTCCATTCCATTCCATTCCATTTCACTCGAGTTGTTTCCATTCCATTCCATTCCATTCAACTCCATTCCATTCCTTTCGAGTCCATTCCATGCCATTCCATTCAAGTCCATTCTATTCCATTCCATTCCATTCCATTCCATTACGATCCATTCCATTCCATTCCGTTCCATTCCATTCCATTCAATACCATTCAATTCCTTTTGAGTCCATTTCATTGCATTCCATTCGAGTCCATTCCATTCCATTAGAGTCCATTCCATTGTATTCCATTGTAGTCCATTGCATTCCATTCCATTTGAGTGCGTCCCATTCCATTCCATTCTATTCCATTCGAGTCCATTCCATTGCATTCCATTCTACTCGAACCCATTGATTCCATTCTATTCCCCTCGAGTCCATTCCATTCCATTCCATTCCATTGATTTCATTCTGTTCCATTCCGTTCCATTCCGTTCCATTCCATTCAATTCCTTTCAATACCAATCCTTTCCTTCTGATTTCATTTCATTGCATTCCATTCAAGTCCATTCCTTTCCATTATAGTCCATTCCATTATATTCCATTCTAGTCCATTTCATTCCATTCCATTCGAGTCCATTCCATTCCATTCCATTGTATTCCATTCCAGTCCATTCCATTCCATTCGATTCCATTCCATTCGTGTCCATTCCACTCCATTCGAGTACATTCCATTCCGTTCAATTTGAGTCCATTCCATTCCATTCCATTCCATTCTATTGGAGTCCATTCCATTCCATTCCATTTGTGTCCATTCTGTTCCATTCCATTCCAGTCTAGTCGATTCCATTCCATTGCATTCGAAGCCATTCCACTGTATTCCATCCCTTTCAAATCCATTCCATTCTATTCCATTCCATTCCATTCCATTCGTATCCATTCCATTCCATTCGAGTCCATTCCATTCCATTCCATTCCATTCGAGTCCATTCCATTCCATTCGAGTCCATTCCATTCCATTCGTGTCCATTCCTTTCCACTCGAGTCCACTGATTCCATTCTATTCCCCTCGAATCCATTCCATTCCATTCCTTTTGAGTCTATTACATTTCATTCCATTGCATTTGAGTACCTTCCATTCCATTTGTGTCCATTCTATTCCTTTTCATTCGAGTCCATTCCATTCAATTCCATTCTATTCCATTGAAGTCCATTCCATTCCATTCCATTCCATTTGAGTGCATATATTTCCCTTCCATTCCACTGGAGTCCATTCCATTCCATTAGAGTCCATTCCATTGGATTCCAATACAGTAAATTCCATACTATTCCATTCGAGCCCAATCCATTTGATTTCTTTCCTTTCAAGTCCATTCCATTCCTTTCGAATCCATTCCATTCCATTCCATTCCATTCCAATGAATTCCTTTCCATTCTATTCCATTCAAATCTATTCCATTTCATTCCATTCCATTTCTCTCCATTCCTCTTCTTTCCATTCCATTCCATTCTATTTCATTGCATTCCATTCCATTCCATTCCTTCACATTACATTACATTACATTTGCACCCAGTTCATTTCATGCCATTCGATGCCAATACATACCATTCCATTCGAATCCATTCAATTTCATTCCATTAGAGTCAATTCCATTCCATTCAATTATATTACATTCCTTTGAAGTCTATTCCATTCCATTACTTTCCATTTGGGACCATTCCACTGCATTCCATTCGAGTCCATTCCATTCAATTCTGTTCCGTTCGAATGCATTCCATTTCATTCCAATAGAGTACATTCCACTAAATTCCAATCTATTCCATTCGAGTCTGTTCCATTCCATTTCATTCAATTCGTGGCCTTTCCATTCGAAAGTAGTTCACTCCATTCCATTCCTTTTAAATTCATTCCATTCTATCCCTTTCTATTCAATTCAACTCCATTTTAATCCGTACCATTCCATCCCAATGCATACCATTCCATTCCATTGCATTCCATTCAATTCGAGTCCATTCCTTTCAATTCCATTCCATTCGAGTCCTTTCCATTCCATTCGATTCCATTACATTTAGTTCCTTTCCATTCCATTCGAGTCCATTCTATTCCATTGCATTAGAGTCCATTCTATTCCATTCCATTATATTTGAGTCGATTCATTTCTATTCCACTTTAGTCCATTCCATTCCATTCCATTCCATTGCATTCCAATCTACTCTTTTTGAGTCCATTCAATTCCATTCCATGCCATTCCAATCTAATCATTTTGAGTCCATTCAGTTCCTTTCCATTCCATTCGAGTCCAATAAATTCCATTCCGTTACATTCCATTTCACTCCTTTCCATTCGAGTCCATTCCATTCCACTCCATTAGATTCGAAACCATTCCATTCTATTCCTTTTGAATCTGTTCCATTCCATTCTATTCCATTTGAGACCATACCATTCCATTCCATTCAACTAGAGTCCATTACATTCCATTTGATTGCATTCCATTCCATTGCATTCGAGTTGATTCCATTCCACTCAATTCCATTTGAGTTCATTCAATTCCATTCCATTCGAGTCCATTCCATTCCATTCCATTCCATTCTGTTCCATTCGTGTCCATTCCATTCCATTCGAATCCATTCCATTCCATTCGAGGCAATTTCATTCCACTATATTCGAGTCCATTCTATTCCATTCCATTCCATTTGAGTCCATTCCATGTCATTCAATTTGATATCATTCCATTCCATTCCATTCCATTGCATTCCATTCCATTCCATTCAAACCATTCCATTCCATTTCTTTCGAGTCCATTCCATTTCATTTAATTCCATTGCAGTCTATTCCTTTCAATTCCATTCGTGTCAACTCCATTCCATTTTTTGTGAGTCTATTCAAATGCATTCCATTCCATTCCATTCCATTCGAGACGATGCCATTCCATTCCATTCCATTTGAGTACATTCAATTCCATTCCATTAGATTCCATTCCATTCCATTTCATTCCACTCGAGTCGTTTCCATTCCATTCCATTCGAGTACATTCCATTCCATTTGATTCCATTCTATTCCATTTCATTCCATTCCATTCCATTCCATTCATTTCAAGTCCATTGACTTCCATTCCATTCATTTTGAGTCCATTCCATTCCATTCGGTTTCATTCCATTCCTTTCTTGTACATTCCATTCCATTCGTGTTCATTTGATTCCATTGCATTCCATTACATTCCATACGGGACCATTCCATACCGTTACATTCCATTCGATTTGAATGCATCAAATTCCTTTCCATTGCATTCGAGTCCATTCCAGTCCATTGCATTCGAGTCCATTCCATTCCATTATTTTTTCTATTGCATTCGAGTCAATTGCATTCCATTCCATTCGAGTGCATTCCATTGCATTCCATTCCATTTCTCTCGAGTCTTTTCCATTCCATTCCATTCCATTCGATTCCATTCCATTCCATGCCATTCCATTTGAGTCCATTCTATTCCATTCCATTCCATTCCATTCGAGTCCATTTCATTCCATTCCATTCCATTCTATTCCATTCAATACCATTTCATTGCTTTCTAGTCCATGTCATTGCATTCCATTAAATCCATTCCATTCCATTCCATTTCATTCGTGTGCATTCCATTCCATTTAAGTTCATTTGATTCCATTCCATTCCATTCCATACGAGTCCATTCCATACCTTTACATTCCATTCGATTTCAGTCTATTAAATTCCTTTCAATTCTGTTCGAGTCCATTTCACTCCATTGCATTTGAGTACATACCATTCCATTCCATTCTATTCGAGTCCATTACTTTCAATTCCAGTCGAGTCCGTTCCATTCCATTCCATTCTAGTGCATTCCATTCCATTCCATTTCATTCTAGTCGTTTCCATTCCATTCCAATCCACTCAAGTCCATTCCATTCCATTCGAGTCCATTCCTTACCATTCCATTCGAGTCCATTCCATTCCATTCTATTCGAGTCCATTTCATTCCATTCCATTCAAATCCATTCCATTCCATTCAATACCATTCGTTTCCTTTCAAGTCCATTTCATTGCATTCCATTCGAGTCCATTCCATTCCATTCTATTCCTGTAGATTTCATTCCATTCTATTCCATTCTAGTCCATTGCATTCCATTCCCTTCTAGTCCGTTCCATTTCATTCCCTTGTATTCCATTCGTGACCATTCTATTCCATTCGATTCCACTTCATTCGTGTCCATTCCTCTCCATTCGAGTACATTCCATTCCATTGCATTTCAGTCCATTCCATTTCATTACATTCGAGTCCATTCCATTCCATTCCATTCCACTCGAGTCCATTCCGTTCCATTCAAGTGCATTCCATTCCATATCATTTGACAACATTCCATTCCTTTTCATTCTATACCATACAAGTCCATTCTGTTCCTTTCCATTCCATTTCATTCCATTCCATTCTATTCGTATCCATTCCATTACATTCCATTTGAATCCATTCAACTGCTTTGTATTGCATTTGAGTCCATTTATTTCCATTCCATTACAGTCCATTCCATTCCATTGCATTCGAGTCCATTCCATTCTATTTGACTCCATTCCATTCCATTTTATTCGAGTCCATTCCATTCCATTCAATTCGTTTCTGATCCATTCCATTCCATTCCATTCCATTCGAATCCATTCCATTCCATTCGATTCCATTCGGTTCCATTCCTTTGCATTCCATTAGAGCCCATTCCATTAGGTTCCAATCCAGTATATTCCATTCAATTCCATTTGAGTCCGTTCCATTTCATTCCATTTGAGTCCATTCCATTCCATTCCATTCCATTCTATTCCAATCCATTCCATTCCATTCCTTTCCATTCCATTCGTTTCCATTCCATTCCATTATATTCGAGTCCACTCCATCCCATTCCATCCTATTCCATTTGAGTCTATTCCATTCCATTGCATGTCATTCCAATCCATTCAACTGCATTCCATTTCATTCGAGTCTATTCCTTTCCATTACATTCGAGTCGATTCCATTCCATTGCACTTCATTCGGGTCCATTGCATTTCATTTGACTCCGTTCCGTTCCTTTCCATTCCTTTCAAGTCCATTTTATTCATTTCCATTCCAATCCATTAAATTCCATTATATTCCTTTCCATTCATTTCGGGTCCATTCAATTCATCTGCATTCCACTCGAGTCCTTTCCATTACATTCCATGCCATTGCATTCCATTCCATTCGAGTCCATTCAATTCCATTCGAGTCCATTTCATTCCATTATATTTCATTCTGTTAGAGTTCATTCCATTTCATTCCATTCCATTATATTCCAGTCCATTCAATTCCATTCCATTCCATTCCATTCGAGTCCCTTCAACTCCATTCTGTTCGAGTGAATTCCATTCCATTCCATTCCATTGGAATCCATTCCATTCCATTCAATTCCATTTGAGACTAATCCATTCCATTTCATTCAATTCTTGTACATTTCATTCCATTTCATTCCATTCGGGTCCGTTCCATACAATTCCATTATGCTCAATTCCATTCCATCCCATTCGAGTCCATTCCATTCCATTCCATTCCACTCCATTCCATTCCATTCCATTAGAGTCCATTCAATTCCATTCCATACGAGTCCATTCCACTCCATTCCATTCAATTCGAGTCTATTGCATTCTATTCTATCCCATTCAAGTAAATTCCATTCTATTCCATTCCTTTCTGTTCCATTTGTGAACACTCCATTCCATTCCGTTCCATTTACTACCGTTCCATTCCATTCAGTTCGAGTCCATTCCATTCCATTCCATTCCAATCGAGTCCATTCCATTCTTTTCCACTCCATTCCATTCGAGTCTATTCCATTCCATTGCATTCCACTCGAGTCCATTTCTTTCCATTCCATTCGATTCCATTCCATTCCATTCTATTCCGTTGCTTTCGTAACCATTCAATTCAACTGCATTGCATTAGAGTCCATTTAATTGCATTCCAGTATATTCCATTCCATTCCATTCGAGGTCATTCCATTGCATTCTATTACATTCGAGTGTATCCCGTTCTATTCCATTCGAGACCATTCCATTCCATTCCAATATAGTCTATTCACTTAAATTCCATTGTATTCCATTCGAGTCCATTACATTCCATTCCATTCCGATGCATTTGTGTCCATTATATTCCATTCGAGTCCATTACATTCCATTACTTTCGAGTCCATTCCAATCCATTCAATTCTATTCCATTCAAGTCCATTCCATTTCATACCATTCCATTCCATTCCAGTCTATTCCATTGCATTCCACTACATTCCATTCCATTCCATTCCATTCGGTGCCATTCCTTTCCATTCCATTCGAGTCCATTCCATTCCATTCCAATATAGTCTATTCACTTAAATTCCATTGTATTCCATTCGAGTCCATTCCATTCCATTCCAATATAGTCTATTCACTTAAATTCCATTGTATTCCATTCGAGTCCATTACATTCCATTCCATTCCGATGCATTTGTGTCCATTATATTCCATTCGAGTCCATTACATTCCATTACTTTCGAGTCCATTCCAATCCATTCAATTCTATTCCATTCAAGTCCATTCCATTTCATACCATTCCATTCCATTCCAGTCTATTCCATTGTATTCCACTACATTCCATTCCATTCCATTCGGTGCCATTCGAGTCCATTCCATTCCATTGCATTCCATTGGAGTCCATTCCAATCCATTCCATTCCATTCAAGTCCATTCTTTTCGAGTCCATTCCTTTCCATTCCATCTGGGTCCATTCCATTCTATTCCATTAGTGTCATTTCCATTCCATTCCATCCCATTGAGGTCCAGTCTTTTCCATTCCATTCCATTCAATTCGAGTCCATTCCACTCCATTCCATTCCATTCCATTCCTTTAGAGTCCTTTCCATTCCATTCCATCCCATTCAGGTTCATTCCATTCCATTCCATTCTTTTCCATTCCTTTCGGATCCATTCAATTCAACAGCATTTCATTCCAGCACATTCCATTCCATTCCATTCCATTCCATTCCATTCCATTCCATTCCATTCCATTAGTGTCCATTCAATTCCATTCTATCCCATTAGAGTCCATTCCATTCCATTCCATTCCATTTCATTCCACTCGAGTCGTTTTCATTCCATTCCATTCCCTTCGAGACCATTTCATTCCATTGGAGTCCATTCCATTCCCTGCCATTCGTGTCCGTTCCATTCCTTTCGAGTGCATTCCATTCCATTCAATTCCTTTCAAGTCCATTCAATTCCATTCCGTAACATTTGAGTCCATTCCATTCCATCAAAATCCATTGCATTAAATTCGACTCCACTGCATTCCATTTATTTCGAGTCCCTTTGATTGCACTCCATTACATTCCATTCGAGTCCATTACATACCATTACATTCCATTCGACTTCAGTCCATTCCATTCCATTCCATTCCATTCGAATCCATTAAACTCCTTTCCATTCGAGTCCATTCCATTCCATTCGAATCCATTCCATTCCATTCCACTTGTGTCCATTCCACTCCATGCAAGTCCATTCCATTCCAGTTCATTGGAGTTGATTCCTTTCCATTGCAATCTATTCCATTCAAGTCCATTCCATTCCAGTACATTCCATTTCACTCGATTCTGTTCCATTTGTGTCCATTGCATTCCATTCCATTCGAGCCCAATCCTTTCCATTATATTCCATTCGAGTCTATTCCATTCCATTCCTTGTGAGTCCATTCCATTCCATTCCATTCGAGTCCATTCCATTCCATTACATTCCATTCGAATCCATTGCATTGCTTTCAAGTCTTTTCCATTCCATTTAATTCTAGTCCATTCCTTTCCACTCCATTTTATTGCATTCAAGTCCATTACTTTCCATTCCATTCCTCTGCATTCCATTCCATTCCGTTGCATTCCTTTCCATTCATGTCCATTCAGTTCAAATCCATTCGAGTACATTCCATTCCATTCCATTCTTTTCCATTCAAGTACATTCCATTCCATTCCATTCTGTTCCATTCCATTCCATTATATTCCATTCAAGTCCATTCCATTCCATCCCACTTGAGTCCATTCCATTCCATTCCGTTCGAGTCCATTCCATTCCATTACATTCGAGTCCATTGCATTGCATTTGAATACTTTCCATTCAATTTCATTCGTGTCCATTCCATTCCATTCTATTCCATTCAAGTCCAGTCCGTTCCATTCCAGTCTATTCCAATCCCTTCCATTCCAATACATTCCATTCCATCAAATTCAATTCCATACGTTTCATGTCCATTCCATTCCATTCCATTAAAGTCCATTCCATTCCATTCCGTTAGAGTCCATAACATTAGATTCCAATCCAGTAAATTCCACTCAAATACATTCGAGTGCATTCCATTTCATTCCATTCCATTCCATTGGAGTCCATTCCACTGCATTCAAGACCATTCCATTCCATTCAATTCCAATCGATTACAGTCCATTCTATTGCATTCCATTCCATTCCATTCCGTTCCATTCCATTCCATTCCATTCCACTCAATTCCATTCCATTCCATTCGGGTCCAGTCCATTCCATTCCATTCGAGTCCTTTCCATTGCATTCGAATCCATTCCACTCCATTCCTTTCCAGTCCATTCAATTCCATTACATTACATTCAATTCGTAACCATTCAATTCCATTCGAATTCCTTTTGATTCCATTCCCCTCCATTCCATTTTGGTCCATTCCATTATATTCCAATTCATTCGAGTCCATTGCTTTCTATTCCATTCTAGTCAATTCCATTCCATTCCATTCGAATCCATTCCACTCCACTGCATTTGAGTCCATTCCATTTCATTCCATTCCAGGCGAGTCAATTCCATTCCATTAGTGTCCATTCCATTCCAATTCATTCGAGTCTATTCCATTCGTTTCCAATCTATTCCATTCAAGTCCATTCCATTCCATTCCATTACTTTCCATTCGATTCCATTACAGTCCATTCCATTCCATTCAATTACTTTCCATTCTTGTCAATTCCATTCCATTCAAGTCCATTCTATTCCGTTCGAGTCCATTCTGTTCCATTCCACTTGAGTCCATTCCATTGCATTCCATTCCGTTCGAGTGCATTCCATTACAATACATTCTTGTCCATTACATTCCATTCGAGCGCATACTTTTCCATTTCATTCGAGTCCATTTCATTCCCATTCCATTCTATTCCATTCAATTCCCTTCCATTCCATTCCAATCCATTTCATTCCATTCCATTTCATTCCATTCCATTCCATCCATTCCATTCATATCCATTCCACTCCATTGCATTCGAGTCCGCTGCCCTCCATTCAATTCCATTGGAGTACATTCCTTTCGATTCCATTAGATTCAATTCCATTCCATTCCATTTGAGTGCATTCCATTCCATACCATTCCATTTCACTGAAGTTTTTTGCTTTTGATTCCTTCCCATTAGAGTCCATTCCATTCCTTTCCATTCTATTCCATTCCATTCCATTCGAGTCCATTCCATTCCATTACATTACATTTCATTCCATTCGAGTCCATTTCATTCCATTCGGGTCAATTCCATTCCGTACCTCTCCATTCCATTCCATTCCATTACATTACATTCGGGTCCATTACATTTCTTTCTATTAGAGTCCTTTCCATTCCATTCCATCTCATTCAAGTCCATTCTCTTCCATTCCATTCCATTCCATTTGAGTCCATTCAATTCCATTCCATTAGAGTCCTCTCCACTCCATTCCGTCCCACTCAAGTCTATTCCGTTCCATTCCATTCCATTCTATTCCATTCCCTTCCATTCTTTTCGGATCCACTCAATTCAACTGCATTCCATTCCATTCCAGTCCATTCCGTTCCATTCCATACCACTCCATTCCATTAGAGTCCATTCAATTTCATTCTATCCCATTAGAGTCCATTGCATTCCATTCAATTCCACTCGAGTCGTTTTCATTCCATTCCATTTCCTTCGAGACCATTTCATTCCATTGGAGTCCATTCCATTCCCTTCCATTCTAGTCCATTCCATTCCATTCCATTCCATTCCAATCCAATCCTTTCGAGTCCATTCCATTCCATTCAACTCCTTTCGATTCCAATCAATTCCATTCCGTACCATTTGAGTCCATTCCATTCCATTACAATCCATTGCTTTAAATTCGAGTTCATTCCATTCCATTCCATTTCATTCGCGTCCCTGTCATTGCATTCCATTCCGTTCAATTCGAGTGCATTCCATACCATTACATTCCATTCAACTCGAATCCATTCAATTAAATTCCATTCCTTTCGTATCCATTCCAGTCCATTCCATTCGAGTCCATTCCATTCCATTCCATTCCATTCCATTCCATTCTATTCGATTGATTTCAATTCCATTCCTTTCGAGTCCATTCCATTCCATTCTACTCGTGTCCATTCCTTTCCATTCAAGTCCATTCCATTCCATTTCATTCGAGTCCATTCCTTTCCATTCCGTTCTTTTCCATTCAAGTCCATTCCATTACTTTACAGTCCATTCCATTTCACTCTATTCCATTCCATTCATGTCCATTCCATTCCACTCGAGCCCAAACCTTTCCATTTTATTCCATTCGAGTGTATTCCATTCCAATCGTGGTGGGTCCATTCCATTCCATTCCATTCGAGTCCATTCCATTCCATTACATTACATTCGTGTCCATTCCATTGCTTTCAAGTCCTTTCCATTCCATTTCATTCGAGTGCATTCCCTTCCACTCCATTGTATTCCAATTAAGTCCGTTGCTATCCATTCCAGTCAGTTCCATTCTGTTCCGTGCCATTCCATTCCTTTCTATTCCATTCCATTCTTGTCCATTCAATTTCATTCCATTCGAGTACATTCCATTCCATTCCATTCTGTTCCATTCGAGTCCATTCCATTCCATTCTATTCCATTAGAGTCCATTCCATTCCATTCCACTTCAGTCCATTCCATTCCATTCGAATTCATTCCATTCTATTACCTTACATTTGAATCCATTGCATTGCATTCGATTACTTTCCATTCCATTTCATTCGAGTCCATTCCATTCCATTCCATTCTATGACATTCAACTCCATTCCATTCCATTCCAAACCAGTCCATTCCCTTCCCTTCCATTCCATTCCATTCCATCCCATTCCATTCCATACGTTTCATGTCCATTCCATTCCATTCTATTCCATTCGAGTCCATTCCATTCCATTCCATTCCATTCGAGTCCATTCCATTCCATTCCATTCCATTTCATTCGAGTTCATTCCATTAGATTCCAATCTAGTAAATTCCACTGAAATCCATTCGAGTCCATTCCATTCCATTCCATTCCATTCCATTCCATCCGAGTCCATTCCAATGCATTTGAGACCATTCCATTCCATTCAATTCTAACACATTCCAGTCCATTCTATGGAATTCCATTCCATTCCTTTCTTTTCCATTTCATTCCTTTCCATTCCCTTCCTCTCCATTCCATTCTATTCCATTCCACTCAATTCCATTCCATTCCAATCCATTCGAGTCCATTCCATTCCACTCGTGGCCATTCCACGCCATTCCTTTCGAGTCCATTCCATTCCATTACATTCCTTTCAATTCGTGTCCATTCAATTCCATACGAATTCCTTTCGATTCCTTTTAACTACATTCCATTTGATCCATTCCATCATATTCCAATCCAATCGAGTCCATTCCTTTCTATTGCATTCTAGTCAATTCCATTCCATTCTATTCGAATCCATTCCACTCCATTCCATTTGAGTCCATTCCATTTCATTCCATTGCAGTCAAGTCAATTCCATTCCATTAGAGTCCATTCCATTCCAAATCATTTGTGTCTATTCCATTCACTTCCAATCTATTCCATTCAAGTCCATTCCTTTCCATTCCTTTCCTTTACCTTACATTCCATTCCATTGCATTCGATTCATTTACAGTCCATTGTATTCCATTCCATTACTTTCCATTAAGGTCCATTCCATTACATTCCATTACTTTCCATTCAGGTCCAATCTATTCCATTCGAGTCCATTCCATTATATTCTATTCTATTCGATTCCACTCCATTCCATTCTATTCCATTCGACTCCATTCCATTCCATTGCACTTGAGTCCATTCCATTCCATTCCATTCCACTCCATTCCAATCAATTACATTCCTTTCGAGTCCATTCCATTGCTTCCAAATCCTTTCCATTCAATTTCATTCGAGTCCATTCCATTCCACTCCATTCTATTCCATTCAAGTCCATTCCTTTGCATTCCACTCCATTCCATTCCATTCCATTCCATTCCAGTCCATTTCATTCCATTCCATTTCATCCCAGTCCATTCCATTCCACTTCTTTCCATTCCATTCATGTCCATTCAATTCCATTCCATTCGTGTACATTCCATTCCATTCCATTCTATTCCATTAAAGTCGATTCCATTCCATTCCAATCCATTCCTTTCCATTCCATTCTAGTCCGTTTCATTCCGTCTCATTCCTTTCCATACATTTCGTGTCCATTCAATTCCATTTCTTATAAGTCCATTCCATTCCATTCTACTCCATTCGAGTCCATTCCATTCCATTGCATTCGAGTCCATTGCATTCCTTTAGACTCCATTCAGCTCCATTCTTTTCGAATCCATTCCAATCCATTACATTCCATTTGATTTGAGTCCATTCAATTCCATTCGAATTCCATTGGATTACATTCCACTCTATTCCATTTGAGTCCATTCCATTATATTCAAATCCATTCGAATCCATTCCTTTCTATTCCATTGTAGTCAATTCCATTCCATTCCATTCGAATCCATTCCTCTCCATTCCATTTGAGTCCATTCCAATTCATTCCATTCCAGTGGAGTCAATTCCATTCCATTAGAGTCCTTTCGATTCCATTTCATTGGAGTCCATTCCATTCGTTTCAATACTATTCGATTCATGTCCATTCCATTTTATTCCATTCCATTAACTTCCATTCCATTGAATTCCATTCGATTACATTACAGGCCATTCCATTCCATTCCATTCCATTCTATTCCATTCAAGTCCATTCCATTCAATTCCATTCCATTCAAGTCCATTCCATTCTACTCCATTCTTGTCCATGCCATTCCAATCCATTCCATTTGTGTCCATGCCATTCTAATCCATTTGAGTCCATTCCATTCCATTCGACTCCATTCCATTCCATTTTATTCGAGTCCATTCCATTCTATTCCATTCAACTCCATTCCATTCCATTCAATTCCATTCCATTCCATTCAATTCCATTCCATTGCATTCGTGTCCATTCCATTCCATTCCATACGAGTCCATTCCACTCCATTCGATTTCATTCGAGTCCATTTCATCCCATTTCATTAGTGTCAAATTCCGTTAAATTCCAATCCAGTACATTGCACTCTATTCAATTCGAGTCCATTGTATTCCATTCCATTTCAGTCTATTCCATTCCATTCCATTCTGTTCGAATCCTTTCTAATCAATTCTATTCCATTCCTTTCCATTACATTCCATGCCATTCCTTTCCATTCCATTCGCGACCATTCCATTCCCTTCCATTCGAGTTCATTCGATTCCATTCGAGTTTCTTCCATTCCATTGCATGCCATTCCAGTCCATTCCACTGCATTCCATTTCATTCGAGTCGATTCCATTGCATTCCATTCTATTTTAGTCCATTCCGTTCCATCTCATTCATATCCATTCTATTCCATTCGAATCCATTCCATTCCATTCGAGTTCATTCCATTCCGTTACATTCCATTCCATTCGAGTCCATTCAATTCCATTCCATTCCATTTGAGCCCAGTCCATTCCATGCCGTTTGAGTCCTCTCCATTCCTTTTGAGTCCATTACATTCCATTGCATTCGCGTCAATTCCATTCTAATCTATGGCATTCCAGTCCATTCTAGTCCATACCATTCCATTCCATTCCATTCCATTCGTGTCCATTGCATTCCATTCAATTCGACTCCATTGCATTCCATTCCACTTCATTTGGGTGAATTCCATTCCGTTCCATTCCATTCGAGTCCATTACTTTCCATAACATTCCATTCCATTCGGGTGCAATGCATGCCATTCCATTCGAGTCCAGTCCATTCCATTCCAATCCATTCGAGTCCATTCCATTCCATTTCAGTCATTTCCATTGCATTCCCTTCGAGTCCATTGCATTCCATTCCATTCCATTCCATTCGTTTTGTGTCCATTCAATTCAACAGCACTCCTTTCGTTTCCATTCCATTGCATTCCATTCGATTCCATTCCATTCCATTCGAGTCTATTCCATTCCATTACAATGCATTCGAGCACATTTCATTCCATTCCATTCCATTCCATTGGAGTTCATTCCATTCCGTTACATTCCATTGCATTTGGATCCATTCAATGCCATTCCATTCCATGCGGGTCCATTCCACTCCATTGTATTCAAGTGCATTCCATTCCGTGCTAATCCATTTGAGTCCATTCCATTCCATTCCATGCTATTCCATTTGAGTCCATTCCATTACATTCGGGTCCATTCCATTCTATTCCATTCCATTCTTATCCATTCCATTCCATTCTTTTCCATTCCATTCCATTCCATTTGAGTCCAATGAATTCCATTGCATTCAATTGAAATACATTCCATTGTATTCCATTCCTTCCACTCGGGTCCATTCCCTTCAATTCCATTAGTGTCAATTCCATTCCATTCCATTCGAGCGCATTCCATTCCATTGGTGTCTATTCAATTCCATTCCATCCCATTAGAGTCCATTCCATTCCACTCTAGTCGTTTTCATTCCATTCCATTCCCTCCGAGAACATTCCATTCCATTGGAGTCCATTCCATTCCCTTCCATTCGATTCCAATCCATTCCAGTCAATTCCATTCCATTCCTTTCAATTCCTTTCTAGTCCATTACATTCCATTACATTGCTTTCGAGTCCGTTCCATTCCATTCCATACCATTTGTGTCCATTCCATTCCATTATATTCCATTGCATTCCTTTCCATTCCATTCCAGTCCATTCCATTCCATTCCATTCAAGTCCATTCCATTCCACTTCATTCCATTCCATTCATGTCCATTCAATTCCATTCCATTCGAGTCCATTCCATTCGAGTCCATTCCATTCCATTCCACTTGAGTCCATTCCGTTCCATTCCATTCGAGTCCATTCCATTCCGTTACATTACATTCGAGTCCATTCCTTTGCATTGGAGTCCTTTCCATTCCATTTCATTCGAGTCCATTCTATTCCATTCCATTTCTTCGAGTCCCTTTCATTCCCTTCCATTCCATTCCATTCCATTTGAGTCCATTCCTTACTATTACATTCCGTTCGACTCGAGTCCATTCAATTCCAATCCATTCCATTCGAATCCATTCCACTGAATTCCATTCGAGTCCATTCCATTCCATTCAATTAAATTCCATTCGATTCCTTTCCATTCCATTCCATTTGATTCCATTCCATTCCACTCTTGTCCATTTCATTCCATTTGAGTCCATTCCATTCCATTTCATTCGAGTTCATTCCATTCCATTCCATTCTAATCCATTCTAGCCCATTCCATTCCTTTTCATTCCTGTCCATTCCATTCCATTCCATTCCAGTCCAGTCCATTCCACTCCATTCCATTCCATTCGTGTCCATTCCATTCCATACGAGCCCTTTCCTTTCCATTATATTCCATTCGAATATATTTCATTTCATTCTTCTTTAGTCCATTCCATTCCATTCCATTGGAGTCCATTCCAATTCATTACATTCCATTCGATTCCATCCCATTGTATTCAATCCTTTCCATTCCGTTTCATTCGAGTCCATTCCATACCATTCCATTCTTTTCCATTCATGTCTATTCCTTTCCATTCCTCTCCATTCCATTCCATTCCAGTTCAGTCCATTCCATTCCATTCCATTCCAGTTCATTCGATTCCAATTCTTTCCATTCCATTCATGTCCATTCCATTCCATTCCATTCGAGTACTTTCCATTCTTTTCCATTCAAGTCCATTCCATTCCATTCCACTTGAGTCCATTGCATTCCATTCCATTCGAGTATATTCCATTCCAAAACATTACATTTGAGTCCATTCCTTTCCATTCGAGTCCTTTACATTCCATTTGTTTTGAGTCCATTCCATTCCATTCCATTTCTTTGAGTCCCTTTCATTCCATTCCATTCCATTGCATTCCATTCGAGTCCATTCCATACTATTACATTCCGTTCGACTCGAGTCCATTCAATTCCAATCCATTCCACTCGAATCCATTCCACTGCATTCCATTTGAGTTCATTCCATTCCATTCCATTCCATGCCATTAAATTCCATTTGATTCCTTTCCATTCCGGTCCATTCGATTCCATTCCATTCCACTCGTGTCCATTCCATTCCATTAGAGTCCATTCCATTGCATTTCATTCGAGTGCATTCCATTCCATTCCATTCTCTTCCATTCTAGCCCATTCCATTCCATTCCATTCCTTTCCGTTCCATTCCATTCTATTCCATTCCCTTCCATTCCTCTCCATTCCATTCCATTCAATTCGTGTCCATTCCATTCCATACAAGCCCTTTCCTTTCCATTATATTCCATTCGAATATATTTCATTTCATTCCTCTTTAGTCCATTCTATTCCATTCCGTTCGAGTCCATACCAATCCATTACATTTCATTCGAGGCCATTCCATTGCATTCAAGTCCTTTCCATTCCATTTCATTCGAGTCCATTCCATTCCACTCCATTCTATTCACTTCATGTCCATTCCTTTCCATTCCACTCCATTCCATTCCATTCCATTCCAGTTCATTCCATTCCACTTCATTCCATTCAATTCGTGTCCATTCAATTCCATTCCATTCGAGTACATTCCATTCCATTCTATTCCTTTCGAGTCCATTCTATTTCATTCCACTTGAGTCCATTCCGTTCCATTCCTTTTGAGTCCTTTCCATTCTATTCCATTCCATTCGAATCCATTCTGTTGCATTCGATTCCTTTCCATTCCATTTCATTGGAATCCATTCCATTCCGTTGCTTTCTATTCCATTCAATTCCATTCCTTTCCATTCCACTCCGTTCCATTCCCTTTCATTCCACTCCGTTCCATTCCCTTCCATTCCAGTCCATTCCATTCCATCCCATTCCATTCCATTCGTTTCGTGTCCATTCCATTCCATTCCTTTAGAGTCTATTCCATTCCATTCTATTCCAATTGAGTCAATTCGATTGCATTCCATTTGAGTCCATTCCATTGCTTTCCATTCACTTCCATTTGATACCATTCCATTCCTTTCTATTCCATTCCATTCTATTCGAGTCCATATCATTCCATTCCATTCCATTCAATTCCATTCCTTTCGAGTCCATTCAATTCGGTTGATTTCCATTGGAGTCCATTCCATTCCATTACATTCTTTTCGTTTCCATTCTATTCCATTCCTGCCCATTCCACTCCGTTGCATTCGATCCCATTTCATTCCATTACGTTCCTTTCCATTCGATTCCATTCCTTTCCATTCCATTTGATTCCATTCCATTCCATTCCTTTCCATTTCATTGCATTCCATTCCATTCCATTCCATTCCATTCCATTCCATTCCATTCCATTGCATTCCATTCCATTGCATTCCATTGCATTCCATTCCATTGCATTCCATTGCATTCCATTCCATTGCATTCCATTCCATTCCATTCCATTCCATTCCATTCCATTCCATTCCATTCCATTCCATTGCATTCCATTCTATTCCATTCCATTGCATTGCATTCCATTCCATTCCATTCCATTGCATTCCATTCCATTCCATTCCATTCCATTCCATTCCATTCCATTGCATTCCATTCCATTCCATTCCATTGCATTCCATTCCATTCCATTCCATTCCATTCCATTGCATTCCATTCCATTCCATTCCATTCCATTCCATTCCATTCCATTGCATTCCATTCCATTCCATTCCATTGCATTCCATTCCATTCCATTCCATTGCATTCCATTCCATTCCATTGCATTCCATTGCATTCCATTCCATTCCATTGCATTCCATTACATTCCATTCCTGTCCTTTCAATTCCATTCCACTCCATTCGAGTCCATTCCACTCAATTCCATTCTTGTCCATTCCATTCCACATCATTCCATTGGACTCCATTCCATTCTTTTCCATTCTGTTCCATTCCACTCTATTCCATTCGAGTCCATTGCATTCTATTTCATTCCCTTCGAGTCCATTCCATTCTATTCCATTGAAGTCAATTCCATTCCATTCCATTCCATTCAATTTCAATCCATTCCATTCAATTCCTTTTCACTCGAGTGGATTCCTTTCAAGTCCATTCCATTCGAGTTCCTTCCATTCCATTCCTGTCCATTCCATTCCTTTCCATTCCTTTCCTATCCATAACTTTTGGGTCCATTCAATTCCATTCCATTCCATTTGAGTCCTTTAAATTCCTTTCCATTCCTCTCAATTCCATTACACTCCATTCCATATGAGTCCATTCAATTCCACTCCATTAGATTCGAGTCCATTCCATTCTATTCCATTTGAATCCGTTCCATTCCTTTCCGTTCCTTTTGAGACCATACCATTGCATTCCATTCCACTGGAGTCCATTTCTTTCCATTCCAGTCCATTTCATTTCATTCAAGTCCATTCCATTCCATTGAATTCAAGTCCATTCCATTCCAATATATTCCATTTGAGTCCATTCCATTCCATTAGAGTCCATTCCATTCCACTCCATTCCATTCGAATCCATTGCATTCTATTCCACTCGTGACCATTCCATTCCACTCGAATCAATTTCATTCCATTCGAGCCAATTCCATTCTGTTATATTCGAGAGCATTCTATTCCATTCCATTCCATTTGAGTCCATTCCATTCTATTACATTCGAGACCATCCAATCCGAACCCATTCCGTTTGAGTCTATTCCATGTCCTTTGATTTGAAATCATTCCTTTCCATTCCATTCCATTCCATTCCATTCGAGTCCATTCGAGTCCATTTTTTTCCATTTCATTTGTGTCCATTCCATTACACTTAATTCCATTCCTTTCCATTCCATTCAATTCCATTCATGTCAATTCCATTTCATTCCATTTGAGTCCATTCAACTCCATTGCATTCCATTCCTTTTGAGACCATGCCATTCCATTCCATTACATTCCATTCGAGTCCATTCAATCCCATTCCGTTACATTCGATTCCATTCCATTCCATTTCATTCTACTCAAGTCGTTTCCATTCCATCCCATTCAATTTGAGTACATTTCATTCCATTGAAGTCCTTTAAATTCCATTCCATTTGATTCCATTCCATTCTATTAAATTACATTCCTTTCCATTCCATTCCATTCTATTACATTCAATTCCATTCCATTCCTTTCCATCAGAGTCCATTCCACTAAATTCCCATCTATTGCATTCGAGTCTGTTCCATTCAATTCCATTCAATTCGTGGCCTTTCCATTCCATTGGAGTCCATTCCATTCCATTCCATTCTGTTTAAATTCATCCCAGTCCATCCCTTTCTATTCCATTCAAGTCCATTCCTATCCAAAGCTTACCATCCCATAGCATTCCATTCCATTCCTGTCCTTTCCATTCCCTTCCATTCCAGTCCATTCCATTCCATCCCATTCCATTCCATACGTTTCGTGTCCATTCCATTCCATTCCTTTAGAGTCTATTCCATTCCATTCTATTCCAATTGAGTCAATTCCTTTCCATTCCATTGGAGTCCATTCCACTCCATTGCATTCGAGTCCATTCCTTTCCATTCCATTCTATTCGAGTCCATTCCTTTCTATTCCATTCGAGTCAATTCCATTCCATTCCATTCGAGTACATTCCATTCCATTCCATTCCACTCCACTAATTTCCTTTCCATTCCTTTGCAATCCATTCCATTCCACTCAAGTCGTTTGCATTCCATTCCATTCTATTCCATTCGGGTCCATTCCATTCCATTGGAGTTCATTCCATTGAATTCCATTCGAGTCAATTCCACTCTATTCCACTCGAGTGTGTTCCATTCCATTCCATTCTATTCGAGTCCATTCCACTCCATTTGACTCCATTCCATTCCATTCCAGTCGATTAAAATCCATTCCAATCCATTCCATTCCATTCCATTCCATTCCTTTTCTATTCCATTCCATTCCTTTCCATTCTATTCCAATCCATTCCATTCCATTCCTCTCCATTCCATTCCAATACATTCCATTCCATTCCATTCCGTTCCATTCCATTCGTGTCCATTCCATTCCACTCCATTCGAGTCAATTCCATTCCATTCCATTCGAGTCCATTCCATTCCATTGCATGCCATTCGAGTTCTTTCCCATGCATTCCATTTCATTCGAGTCCAATCTATTCCATTCCACCTGAGTCCATTCCTTTCCATTACATTCAAGTCCATATCATTCCATTCGAATCCATTCCATTGCATTTGAGTCCTTTCCATTCCATTTCCTTTGCGTGCATTCCTTTCCTTTCCATTCTATTCCATTTAAGTCCAATCCGTTCCATTCCACTCCATTCCATTCCCTTCCATTCCAGTCCCTTCCATTCTATCCCATTCCATTCCATAACTTTCGTGTCCATTTCATTCCATTCCATTCGATTCCATTCCATTTTATTCCTTTCCATTCCATTCAAGTCCATTCCATTCCATTCCATTCGAGTCCATTCCATACCTTTACATTCCGTTTGAATCGAATCCATTGAATTCCATTCCACTCCATTCCATTTGATTCCATTCTATTCCATTCCACTCCACTAGCGTATATTCCATTCCATTCGAGTCCTTTCTATTCTATATCATTCTTGTCCATTCCATTCTTTTCCATTCTATTCCATTCAAGTCATTCCATTCTATTCTATTTCAGTCCATTCCATTCCATTCAATTCCATTCCATTTTTGTCCATTTCATTCCATTTCATTCGATTCCATTCCATTCAATTCTATTGCATTCGAGTCCATTCCATTCCACTTGATTCCATTCCATTCCATTCCTTTTGAGTCCATTCCATTCCATTCCATTCCATTTGACTCCATTCCATTCCATTTAATTCGAGTCCATTCCATTCCATTCCATTCTATTGCATTCAACTCCATTCCATTCAGTTCCATTCCATTCCTTTCCATTCCATTTAAGTCCTTTCCATTCCGTTCGCTTCAATTCGAGTCCATTCCATTCCATTTCTTTAGAGTCAATTCTGTTAGTTTCCAATCCAGTAAATTCCATTCTATTCCATTCGAGTCCATTCCATTCCATTCCATTTGAGTCCACTCCATTCCATTCCATTCTATTCCAATCCATTCTTTTCCGTTTTGTTCCCTTCCCTTCCATTCCATTCCATACAGGTCCATTCCATCCCATTCTATTCGAGTCCATTCCATTCCATTCCATTCCATTCCATTCCATTCCATTCCATTCCATTCCATTCGTGTTTATTTCATTCCATTGCATTCCATTCCAGTCCATTCCTCTGCATTCCATTTCATTCGAGTCCATTCCTTTCCATTCCACTCTAGTCGATTCTATTCCATTCCATTCGTTTCGTGTCCATTCCATTTCATTTGAGTCCGTTCCCTTCCATTCCATTCCATTCCATACAAGTCCATTTCATTCCATTCCAGTCCACTCCATTCCTTTCAGGTACATTCTATTCAACTGCATTACATTCGATTCCATTCCATTCCATTTTATGCCATTCCATTCCATTCCATTCCATCGACTCCATTCCATGCCATTCCATTCGAGTCCATTTCATTCCGTTCCATTCCATTCCCTTCGAGTTCATTCCATTCCATTCCTTTCAAATCCATTCGGCTACACTCTGTGTCCCTTCCATTCCATTCGAGTCCATTCCATTACATTCGAGTTCTTTCCCTTCCATTCCATTACCTTCCTTTCAAATCCGTTCGGCTCCACTCCATTCGAGTCCCTTCCATTCTATTCGAGTCCATTCCATTCCATTCCATTCCATTCCCATCCATTCCTTTTGAGTCCATTCAATTCCATTCCATTCCATTGTAGTCCATTAAATTCCATTCCTTTCCGTTCGATTCCATTACACTCCATTCCATTCGAATCCATTCCATTCCACTCTATTAGATTCGATTCCATTCCAAGCTATTCCATTTGTGTCTGTTCCATTCCATTCCATTCTTTTTGAGACCATACCATTCCACTGGAGTCCATTCCATTCTGTTCGAGTCCATTCCATTGCATTGCGTTCGATTCCATTCCATTCCACTCTATTCCATTTGAGTCCATTGCATTCCATTCCATTTGAGTCCATTCCATTCTATTCCTTTCATGTCCATTCTATTCCACTCGAATCAATTCCATTCCTTTCGAGCCATTTCCATTCCATTATATTCTAGTCTATTCTATTCCATTCCATTCCATTTGAGTTCATTCCATTCCATTACATTCGAGACCATCCAATCCCAACCCATTGCATTCGAGTTCATTCCATGTCATTTGATTCGAAATCATTCCATTCCATTCCATTCCATTCCATTCCATTCCATTCCATTCCATTCCATTCCTTTCCATTCCATTCCATTCCATTCCATTCCATTCCATTCCATTCCATTCCTTTCCATTCCATTCGAGTCCATTTCATTCGTGTCCATTCCGTTACATTTAATTCCATTCTGGTCCATTCCATTCAATTCCATTCGAGTCAATTCCATTCCATTCCATTTGATTCCATTCAATTGCATTCCATTCCATTCCATTCGAGACCCTGCCATTCCATTCCATTGCATTCCATTCCATGCGATTCCATTCAATCCCATTCCATTACATGCGACTCCATTCCATTCCATTTCATTCCACTCGAGTTGTTTCCTTTCCATTCCATTCCATTCGAGTACATTCCATTGCAATCGAGTCCTTTAAATTCCATTGCATTCGATTCCATTCCATTCCATTACAGTACATTCCTTTCCATTCGATTCCATTCTATTACATTCGAATCCATTCCATTCCATTCCATTAGATTCCATTCCACTAAACTCCAATCTTTTCCATTCGAGTCCATTCCATTCCATTCGTGGCCTTTCCATTCCATTGGATTCCATTCCATTCCATTGTTTTTAAATTCATTCCATTCCATTCCATCCCTTTCTATTCCATTCAAGTCCATTCCAATCCATACCATACCATCTCATTGCATTCCACTCCATTTCATTCCATCCCATTCCATTCCATTCCATTCCATTTCATTCGTGTCCTTTCCATTCCATCCCATTCGAGTCCGTTGCATTCCATTCGATTCCAGTCCATTTAACTCCTTTCCATTCCGTTCCAGTCCATTTCACTCCATTGCTTTCGATCCCATTCCATTCCATTCCATTCTATTCGAGTCCATTCCTTTCTATTCTATTCGAGTCAATTCCATTCCATTGCATTCGAGAGCATTCCATTCCATTCCATTTCATTCCATTCCATTCCACTCGAGTCATTTCTTTTCCTTTCCATTGCTTTCCATTCCATTCCACTCGAGTCATTTCCTTTCCTTTCTATTCATGTCCATTCCATTCCATTGGTGTTTATTCCTTTGAATTCCATTCTAGACTATTCCACTATATTCCACTCGAATCTATTCCATTCCATTCCATTCCATTCGAGTCCATTCTACCCCATTCGAGTCCATTCCTTTCCATTCCATTCCATTCCATTCGATTAAAATCCATTCCATTCTTTTCTATTCCATTCCATTCTATTCCATTCCATTCTATTCTATTCCATTCCTCTCCATTCCATTCCATTCCATTCGCGTCCATTCCTTTCCACTCCATTCGAGTCCATTGCATTCCATTCCATTCGAGTCTATTCCATTCCATTGCGTGCCATTCGAGTTCCTTCCACTGCATTCCATTTCTTTCGAGTCCACTCCATTACATTCCTCTTGAGTCCATTCCATTCGAGTCCATTCAATTGCATTACATTACATTCGAATCCATTCTATTGCATTTGAGTCCTTTCCATTCCATTTCATTCGAGTCCATTCCTTTCCATTCCATTCTATTCCCTTCAAGTCCATTCCGTTGCATTCCACTCCATTCCATTCCCTTCCATTCCAGTCCATTCCATTCCATCCCATTCCATTCCATACCTTTTGTGTCCATTCCATTCCATTCCATTTGAGTCCATTCCATTCCATTCTATTCCATTTGAATCCATTCCATTCTATTCCATTAGAGTCTGTACCATTATATTCCAATCCAGTAAATTCTGCTCTATTCCATTCGAGTTCATTCAATTGCATTCCATTCCATTCCATTCGAGTGCATTCCATTGCATTTGAGTCCATTGCATTCAATTCAATTCCATTCCAATCCATTCCTATCTCTTCCATTCCATTTTATTCCTGTCCATTCCATTCCATTCCATTCGAGTCCATTCCATTCCATTCCATTCGCGTACATTCCATACCATTACATTCCGTTTGACTAGAATCCATTCAATTCCATTCCATTTGATTCGAATCCATTCCACTCCATTCCATTCGAGCCTATTCTATTCCATTCCTTTCCACTAGAGTCCATTCCTTTCCATTCGAATCCTTTCTATTCCATATCACTCCAGTCTATTGCATTCCGTTACAGTCCATTCCATTCCACTTCATTCCATTCCATTCCATTCCATTCCTGTTCATTCCATTCCATTCCTTTCGAGTCCATTCCATTCCATTCTATTGCGTTCAAGTCCATTCCATTCCACTTGAGTCCATTCCATTCCATTCCTTTTGAGTCCATTCCATTCCATTCCATTCCATTCAAGTCCGTTCCTTTCCATTCGACTCCATTCCATTCCATTTCATTGGAGTCCATTCCATTCATCTCCATTCCATTCCATTCCATTCTATTCCTTTCCAGAGAAGGTTTAGGAGCCTGACCAAAGTTTCACGAAGTAAAGAATCTTTCTCAATTTTCATAATTTAAAACCAGTTAAGCAAATGTTACAAAATATCTGAAGAAATAATCCGTCATGAGGAATAGTCAATAGGAGAAAAATGGTTAGTTGGATTTCAGCCACTTGAATGATTATATAGCACGCAAAAGAATATTACTTAAAGTGCTTAGACAAATAAAAGAGGGAACAGTAAGAACAAAAAATAAAAGAGCATAAAAAATGACATACAGTATCAAGACAAGACAACCTACAGAATGTAAGAAAATATTTGCAAATCGTATATCTGGTAAGGGACTAATAGCTTTTTTTTGAGATGGAGATTCCCTTTTGTTGTCCAACGCTGGAGTGCAGTGACATGATCTCGGCTCACTGCAACCTCTGCCTCCCAAATTCAAGGAATTCTTTCTGCCTCACCCTCCCAAGTTCCTGGGATCACAAGCATGTGCCACCACACCCAGCCAATTTTGTATTTTTAGTAGAGATGGAGTTTCACCAGGTTGTCCAGGCTGGTCTCGAACTTCTGTCCTCTGGTGATTCACCCACCTCGGCCTCCCAAAATGCTGAGATTACAGGCATGAGCCACCGCGCTTGGTTGTATCATTTTGTTTTTAAGAGACAGGGTATTGCTTAATATTGAGTATATAAAGAACACTTACACCTCAAAAACTTGACAAAAACAAAGAGGCCAGGCACAGTGGCTCATACCTGTACTCCCAGCACTTTGGGAGACTGAGATGGGAAGATCACTTGAGGCCAGGAGTTCAAAGCCAGCTTGGTCAACATAGTGAGATCCCCATCTCTAAAAAAGAGAAAATATAAAATAAAAAAATGGTCAGGCTACATGGCTCATGCCTGTAATCCTAGAACTTTGGAAGGTCAAGTCGGGAGGATCACTGGAGGCCAGGAGTTTGGGACCAGCCTGGGCAACATAGCAAGACCTGCCCCCATCTCTAAAAAAATGTACAAAATTATCCAGGCATGGTGATACGCACCTGTATTCCAAGCTACTTGGGAAGCTGAGGCAGGAGAATCCCTTGAACAGAGGAGGCGTTGGTTGCAGTGGGCTGAGATTGGGCCACTGCACTCCAGCCCAGGGAACAGAGCTGGAGTTCCCAGAGACTCTGTATCAAAAAATAAAAAACAAAAAAAGAGAAAAACATTTGTTGTTACAATCAGGTCACAAGCCTGCAGTCAGAGTCATCCTATTAAAGTCAGCTCATGTCTCCTCTGCTCAATAGTCTCCAATACTTCCCATCTCATCTCACTCTGAGGAAAAACCAAAATCCTTAAGAGGACCAACAATCACTTTATGATCTGGACCCATCGCCTCTCCGCCCTCAGTTGCAACAGCTCCTACTTCAGTCTTCCCTAGCCTGATGGCTCCCCTGCTATTCCTCAAACACCATGGCAGATGCCTGCCTCTGGGACTTGGTGTTCACATTTCTGTACGTCTGAAATGTTCCTCCCTCAGATATCCAAATGGCTATCTTCCTTGCTGCATAAAGGTTGTTACCAAATGGCAGCTGAGTAAAGGCTTCCCTGGCCACCCTATCTAAACTTTTACCACTCTCCCACACTCCCAAAAACCACTTCCTAACCTCTTTAACTGCTTCATTTTTTCTCCTTAAGACCACCACCTAACATAATGTATATATTTTCCCTCTTTGTTTTCTGTTGGTGCCCTTCACTGGAATGTGAGCTCTATGAAGCAGGGGCTTAGTGTCTCCACTGCAGTCTATCTTGCATAGTTACATCCTTCATTATTTCACTCTTAGCTAAGTTCAAGCTAGTTTACTACTGCTGCATAGAGTTTAAACACTTCTATCAGGAATTCACTATGTTTCTGGATTTATGTGACTTTTTTGTTCCCTTCTGTTTATGATATATGATAGACTCTTGCTATTCTTAGAATTCTTTAAGACTCACAAGCCCACAAACTGGAATATTTGTAGAGGCCCCTGGTCGTCCCTTGAATCATACATCCAAACCCCAAATTAACTCCTTTCAACATGTATTAAAGCTGCTTTCTTCTTGATCAATTCAGAAGAGTTATTATGTTGAAAAGTACAAAGCTGCACTGAGATTCAGACAATGGCATGTATCACGCTTGCTCTAGCAGATCATTGATCTTTGTGGGACCGCTTGTAAACCACACATGCTGAGGAGGCAACATCAAGTATGAGGTGACTCTTGAACCGTTTGTACTAGTGATTATCTTTTCCCCATGTCTTTCTGTCTCTTTACTTACACTGTTATTGGAGCTATACCTTCTTCACTGGTAATTTCCACTCCTAAATCCAAATATAGTGGGTGACTAATTAATAATTGTGGGCTGAGTAAATAATAAATGAGTCATTTTCTATCCTTTAGGGATCATATGCTTCTAAGAGCAACATCTGATTGTATTTTATCATCGATATCATTCAAAATCTAATACATCTTCTGTGTCCTCAAGTTTTCTCATCCTTAATGCCTCCATTTTTGCGTTTTCCATTTACTTTTTCAACCAATATTTGAGGACCTACTATGTGTGGTAGGGACACAGTTTGAACAGACAGGTCTGGTTAGGTGAGGCTGAGGGTGGGGTGTGGAAATATAAATTCTTTGTCTATGATATGTAGACTCAACCTTACAGACAATTACCTAAAAGAAGGCAAGGGTGGCTGGTACCTAATTGGAGGGAAAGACTTTGGTACAAGATGAGTTCAAAGATGAGATAGGGGACAGATCGCAAAATACCTGATCTGCTATGGTAAAAAAGTTGTGATTACAGTGCCATGGGTCTAACTTACCTAGTCATTTCTTGATCCAAATTTCATTTTTTACTCTGTTTTTCCTTATAATTCTCCTCTTAAATTTCGGGTTACTCTCTTTTCTTTATTTTACATTGTATGTGTTTGTGTGTGTATTTTTTTTTAAAATTTTAGAAATAGGGACAGAGTCTATGTTGCCCAGGCTGTATTCAACTCCTGGGCTCAAGTGATCCTGCTGCCTTAGCTTTCCGAGTAGCTGGAACTACAGGTACACACCACCATGCCTGCCTTATATTCTTTAATATTACCTATAATCTTTCTAACACCCACCTTCAATTTTCTTAAAGTCATTAGTGAGATTAGGTAACAATTTATGGCAAAAGGCACAATAAAAGTGATTACGAGCAGGTGCACCAAGCATGGCAATAAGAGAAACCAATACATCCACTTCCACGCAAAACATTCTAAGAAGTATTAAAAATGAAATAACATTTCTGGACTTGAACATTTTGCATTATTTTCCTTTTTTCCCTAAGCCCTCTCAACAGTAAATTAGTCTGCAAAAATAAATCTGTCTCATGATCTGACTCATAGTTTGTAAACCATATACTATAAAATATACATATTTATATGTAAAATATACACACCTTGCCTTTTAAAAATTATTATGTTTATATTACTCCAGAATTTGTTTCAACATTTTCTGTTTGAGCAATGCATTTTTTTTTAAAGACAAGGTCTTACTCCATCGCCCAGGCTGGAATGCAGTGGCATGATCATAGCTCACTGCAGCCTCCAACTTCTGGGCTCAATTGATCATCCTGACTCAGTCTCTCCAGTAGTGGGACTATACGAACACACCACCATGCCTGGCTAATTTTTATTTTTTTATTTTTGTAGAGACAGTATCTCCCTATGTTGCCCAGGCTGGCAGTGAATTTTTTCGAGAAGAAATTGTGCTCATTTTAACCAAAACTTTATAAATATTTTAATATTTATTTAATGTCTCTTCATATTCTATGGAACAATCAATCATTTATAATTCATATATTTGCATGAAGGGTGAAATAGTAAATTAGTAGTTTAAAAAATACTTAAGGATAATCTTATACAATACAAATCTTTAAAAGTTATAATTTTGTTTTTATATCTAAAACTGAAATTTCCCTAGTAATGCAGGTTTCTGAATCTCCTAGAAGATTCAAATACTATCTTAATAAAGCAAACGCTGAACTTTATTGTGATAGCATAATGCTGAAAAAGTAAAAGTTATAAATTCTGTTCTGGCCAGGCGTGGTGATTCATGCCTGTAACCCCAGAACTTTGGGAGGCCAAGGCGGTTGGATCACTTGAGGTCAGGAGTTCAAGATCTGCCTGGCCAACATAGTGAAACCCCGTCTCTACTAAAAATACAAAAATTAGCTGGGCATGGTGGCGGATGCCTGTAATCTCAGCTACTCAGGAGGTTGAGGTGGGAGAATCGCTTGAATCTGGGAGGCGGAGGTTGCAGTGAGCTGAAGTGCGCCACTGCACTCCAACCTGGGCATCAGAGTAAGACTCCATTTCCAAAAAGGTAATTAATTCTGTCCTATTGTGGTAGAAGCTCAGCAAAAGGAAACATCAGTCTATATTGAAATATTTGGAACCAAGCTATAACACTATTGCAAACACTCACTGCATATATTCAACACATTTATTTAGATTTTCACTTATTTCCTCTTGCGGGTTTATGGTAGACTTCTTAAAGGCAAGATTAATTTCTCAGCCAGCTTTGCAACTCCTGCAAAATAAGATACAGGTCTGTGCACAAACTATGTGATCAATAAATATCTGCTGAACTCATAAACAATATACTTATAATCTATTATTACAATGTTTAGAAAAAAAAAGAAAGTTAATGAGGTATTATGAGTGAATAATAACGTCTTCAGAATAAAGGACTATTATTTTTTGGAGAGTGGGATCATCGGTCCAATACTCCACGTCAACTCTGCTGCTGGTTTGTGGCAAGGTAAAGAGCTTGCACCAGAATGTAAATCAACTAACTGCTTCCTACACTGAAGAGGTCTTGCTATTTTTAAAAAGTCAGCTGAACACTAATCAGTATGTTTAGTGACATCGCCTATTTACATTCTGGCACAAGCTCTGGATCTCACTGCAAACCAGTAAGTCTGCACTGGCCCTGATCTGCAGGCCACACTTTTCAGAATCCTGGTTCCATGCTACTAGTATATATGGACTAACAACAACAATGATGATAATTTTACCAATTAGCATTTATAGAATGATTATTGCACACCAGATGCTATGTTCAGCACTTAAGCACTTTATATGGATTATTTCATTTAAACTCTTAAGGACCTCATGAGGGTTTACTTTATTATTTCCATTTTTCAAATGAGGAAATGTAAACCTTCAGAGGTTTAATTTAAACAGCTTCTAGAAGATCATCTGTGGTAGGACAGGTGCTTAAAGTCAGGCAGTATGATCTCTGCTTAACCCCAGTTAAGTGTATAGTGTATATGCTTAACCATATATCCATACTGCTTCCTGACTATGTTATACATTGCTTCCAGACTACATTTTAAAAAATAGGCTCACGTTGCATCACTGGGGTTGAAGAAATACTTGACACTAATGGAGATGTCAGGAAGAGAGGTCTGGAAGAAATACCATAAAACTGAAAAACATGGTAAAGATAGATTTGTAAATCTTTTTATAGATTTGAAAAACATATTTCTAATACAAAGTTACAGTCAAATATTTAATACACTTTATCTCTCAAGCACGGTATGCTTTAATTGAAACAATGGACCTAATCATTACTAGGACTTTTAGAAGGTCACTTCTTTGTTTGCCTTTGTTTTAATAGCCTCAAATCTCCCAAAAATATATCCTATTTGGTTTCCAGTATAAATTTAAAGTCTTTCTGGGAAAAGATAAGGTCAAAATTCAAAATTTATTTTAAAATCCTTATTTCTAGACTTGTAACGAGTTGATTGCTTTGATTTTAAGTAAGCAAATCTAGTTAATTAGCTTTTTAAAAATAAAAAAGGTCCATTTTTAACTCAATGTTGGTTCATATCAGATACAACCAGCCTTGTATTGACAATTGGTTGAATATAAAATATTATATTAATAACAACAGATACTACAGTTGATCTTAGCCAAAAGGCCGAGAAGTGATGAATATACAGTATTGAATATTGTATTGCATATTGGTTGAATAACCAACCCTGCACAATCAAATTTTTTAAAAAGAATCCTTACATTCTAATGGTACTTAAAAAAATTTTAGGCTTGGGGCAGTGGCTCATGCCTGTAATCCAATCCTTTTGGGAGGCCAAGTGGGGAGGATAATTTGAGCCCAGGAGTTAGAGACTAGCCTGGACAACACAGTGAGACCCTGTCTCTACTAAAAAGCATATTTTTAAATGTATCTACAGAAAGTCCCCCCGAGCTCAATCAATGTTTATGTAGAGTATTAATATACCACTCCCCACAAATAAGTTTCTAAGTCAAAGGTATTGTCAGAAGTTCAAAAGACTGGACCACTCAGTGCTTTGTGATATTATTTTGATGATTTTTTGACTGCATTCCATTCCAAAAACTAATTTACTCTGAGTAGAAGCAGAGTTAATAAAGTATGCAAAAATACTAATCTGGCTTATTTAAGTAGTCTAGTGACATATCTGAGAAAAATTTTGTGTGAGATTCAATAAAAGCTGAGATTTAAAGAACAGGTTACTGCTGGTCTCCCCAAGTTAACATAGTTTACCTGAGACATACACAAAATTAACTTTTATCCATCTCTCTCTCTCTCTTTTTTTTTAAGTATTTGCTTGAGGCATAATCATAATCAACTTCTAAAGTTACATTTTACTTGATTTGTTGTCCCAAATGTAGACAAAAAATCCATAAATAGACACAGGCACAGTGGCTCATGCCTGGAATCCCAACACTTTGGAAGGCTGAGGCTGGAGGAGCCCAGGAGTTCCAGACCAGCGTAGGCAACATAGCAATACTCTGTATCTAAAAAATCTGTTTAAAAATGTTTCAAAAATATTTTTAAACATAAATATGAAGATTTCTGTTGTTAACAAAGTAATGGGTAGTCATTTTACATGAACTTTAATAAAACAATAATAGATGAACTCTGTTGTGCGTTCTATGGTGACTAGAGGAAAATATAATCATTTTGGGGAATGCCAATGCATGAACTCCTCAGGAGTAGGCACTCTTCCATTAATCCTCCCAGATTTTCAGTTCCCTTTTCTGAACACTGGTCTTTAGTCTCCGTGGGTTCTTCCACCATCAGCCCCTCCCCACAACGTAAAATGTGCATACTTCAGGGCTCTATCCTTTACCCTCTTATTCCACATAATATCCCTGGAGAAAATAATCACATTTTAACTTCAATCACTAAATGCTTAAGCCAAATTTCTATCTTCATCTCAGACTTTTTCCCTTTAGTTCCAGACCCACATGTCCAACTACTACTACTTATGGGACCTCCCAACATATATGACAGGCTTCTCAAACTGAACACATCTACCCCACTTCTTAAACTCCTCAAATTTTTTTTTTCTTCTTTAGAGTTCAATGAATAACAGAACAATCCACTCTATCACCCCACTGTCATCCCTGGCTTCTCCTTCCTCATCTCCTGTATCACCAAGATCTGCCAATTCTACCTTTTTTCGTGGCCCCTCCTTCTTATTCCCACCATCGCTCTCCTAGTTCTCTTCATTTCTTCACTGAGCTTCAACTACATCTCCAATTTTTTGTTCTCTCATTTAAGCTCTCTACCAATCTGTCATTTGAGTGTTGCCAGTGATCCTTTCCAAATGTAAAACTGATCCAGTCACTGACCCAAATCCTCCTTATTACCTTTAAGGAAAATAAACTCATGGTCCTTAGGTTCCTTCTGATTTGGCCCACATTTGCCTTTCTGGCCTTACTTCCTCCCATTTTCTGCTAATACACGTGAAGAAGTATTCTCCAGTTCAGCCACAATAAACCAAGGCTTGCTTGTTCTCCCAGCCTTCGTGCCTCAGCCCAGGCTGTTCTGCTTCAGAAGAACCTGGTCATTTCCTGTTCACCCTTTATGACATGCAATTCCAGAGCCCAGGAAGTACCTAACACATTGTGAATGTGGTATCAATGTCTGCTCTATGCCTAAGTCATTAACAGCCCTTTATATTAAAAAAGTTCATTACGACATACAAGATATTTTCATTCATAATCTATAATCACATTTATCTTGATTCTCACAACTAGACTATCGGACAACCATTGCAGGTTTTATTATCCCAAGTTATCAATGACAAAATAATAGCTTCTGTTTTTCCAAAGGGGCAAAGCTAGAAATTAATGCAATGACCCCAAACTAAAGGTTTGACCTCTCTATTATTACCCTACTTAAATTATCAGGTACACAATGAAGCCCACCGTGTGCTAAAAGCAACACAGAAGAAGCGTAAGTCATGCACTTAGCTCCAAACATATTTAATCTAGTCAGAGGTACAAGATCCAACCATATGAGATAAAATTCTATAGGAAAGTATCCTGCAGAGCTAAATGCTAAACCGTGTAGCACCCCCAGTAGGAGAGAGAAGTGCATTTAGTGGGCATTAGCCTAATCCTGAAAGACTTTCCAGAAACTGGGGCAGCATGCTCCTGCAGTCCCCTTTATTTATTTATTTATTTATTTATTTATTTATTTATTTATTTAACTTTTTTTTTTTTTTGAGACGGAGTCTTGCTCGGTCACCCAGGTTGGAGTACAGTGGCCCAATCTCTGCTCACTGCAAGCTCCGCCTCCCGGGTTCACGCCATTCTCCTGGCTCAGCCTCCCGAGCAGCTGGGACTACAGGTGCCTGACACCATGCCCAGCTAACTTTTTGTATTTTTAGTAGAGACGGGGTTTCACCATGTTTGCTAGGATGGTCTCGATGTCCTGATCTCCTGACCTCGTGATCCGCCCACCTCAGCCTTCCAAAGTTCTGGGATTACAGGCGTGAGCCACCGCACCCGGCCAGTCTCCTTTAGACTGTGGATGAGTAAACGGCTGAGAGATAGACATTCCATGTGAGTGCAACAAATTGAATGTAGACCATGACAAGTTTGGAGAATAAAGAGGAAAACACCAAAAATAGAAATTTGATTGTTTTCCACCTTTGACCGAACTCCTTAAGAGTTTCAGAAAGTATCAGATAGAGAAAAAAGTACCCTGACTCTGGAAAAGAAAACAAAAACCAACAAAAACCCTAAAACCAACAAAAACAAAAATGAAAACTTCCTTCAACTTACCACAGTAAGGCTAGAAGACAGAACTATTAATAGCATGCTCATTTGCTATATTTGTATCAACCTATTTGCATTAAATAATGTTAACCTCCCACTAAAGTTATTTCTACTTTGAATTCTGAAGTAGTCAAGAGATTTAAATAAGAAAAAGACAACATCTGTTTCTTCATTATTACTTTGTTATTCCCTATCCATAATGCTTCAGTTTGCTACATTTAGCTTAACACCAGCAAAGTAAACAATAATGTAACTATTCTATCTAGTACTGAGCTTGGAGACTTAAAAAAATATACATAGAACTTTATTCCTTTTCATTTGACCACTAATAACATACTGAACATGCCGGTGAAAAGAAATAAAACACAATGGTAGAAAACTCCAAAAAAGTACAATCAGTGTCTTTACCATTCATCCCCCACCCCTATCTCATTAGCAACTTTCTGATCTCGGGTGTTTTTTCCAATAGTAATGTGTATCCCTATATCCAAACAATTTCTCTAAAGCCCTTGTCATTCATTCAAAAACGTTTAACAAGTACATTGCACTAGGTGATAGAGGAACAGAAACTGAATATTGTCCCTGCCTCAGACATTTCAGTGTTTTTACGCCTCACTTCCACTCCTAACCAGTCTTCTTCCACAGGTACCCTGTCCCCTAAAATCAAATGTTGCTTTTCACAGTTGCCTTTACTTGTCACCTAAAGTATTTCAATTCAAAATTTCCTCGAAGTCAACTTCACAGCTGCTGATAAAATAATCATTCTATATGATTACAAAGTGTTTCACCAATACATATCCCCATTTTTTCCAAACTTAAAATTTCTTCAGTCCTTACTACTTTAATATAGAGACCTGCACTGTTGTTTCTTCTTTTTAAAAAAATACTAATGCTAATCCTTTACTGTTTGAGCAGACTTAATCTTACCTTTTCTTTTGTCAATAAATGCCAGGTGTTTTTTAAATCACTATCTTGTCACTTTCGATTATGATATACTGATCACTCTATTTGTATCTTGAATGAAAAGACCGCTTTGTGATTTTGCTAATGATATGTAAACTAGAACTTGAGAACCACTGGATACAGAAGTACTGCTGATCTTTAGATACTTTCTGTCTAAAAATAAAGCCCTGTCTCCAAATTTCAGGAACAGGGAGTTAAGGTTCCATGAAGTGTTTACTTTCCACCCTCAATTTATTACCTTAATACTTCAGCTTAAGAATTATGTGTTCTGTATATATCACGCTGCTTGTCAATATCCACACATAAACCTTCTTGTTTTGACAATTAATCTGAAAAAGTCCCCATATAGTCTAAGAGGGGGAAGAGCTAATTTGGAAGAATATAATATATGTCAGTTTCCATCACAGAATATATGCTTCTCAAGTTCAATTAACCTCTCAATGATTCCCTTTCTAAGAGGAAAGTAATTCTCCTTAGTGTCCTTGTCATCCATGGAGTGGAAATCTTTATACTGGCAAGATTATTAATCACTTGCATGACCCCCAAAACGGCTCTTCCTTCCATTTCCCTCAAGTACTGTCTGGAGCAGCGGTTGGAACTAATAGAGGGGCCATAATCTCCAGACCTGAGTACCAAATCAATCCTGCAGCCCCCCACACCCTTAATGCCCCTGCACTTTCTTGCTTATCCTTTTTCTGTCCTCTCCATTTTTCTTTCCTCCTTCCGGTGTTCCAGAACCTATGATACTCTGCCGGTTGTTTGAATTTTTACAACCTACCAGATAATAATCCCTTGTGATCCTCAAAGCTTCCTTAAAGCAAACCCTGCATCACTGTGTTTTAAAACCAGTATGAAAGACTATTGTGTGGGATAATGTTACATTGTTTCACAGCCCTACAAAGTTTGGCCACAAAAAGTGTGGGCAGATTCCATAACTCAACTGGAAACGCGAAGGACTGAAACAAATCAACACACACAAAACGAAGCCAGTGAGAAAGATCCAACCTGGGCCCCCTGCCTGAAATGGGACATGGGGATGACGGGGCAAAGCCGGGCAAAGCCCTGCTCCTGGCTCTCGCGATTCAGGAGGCGCTCCCAGCTCACTGGGGACGACAGTGACGATGGCAGCGGCTCGCATTGCTCCACGCTTCCCGTCAGGGGGGCTCCAGGGACCACCCCAGGCCCGGCGATGCCCGGGCTCGGAGGGAGCCCCTGGTGCGAGGGCTGCCAGCAGGGCTCCGTCCTCTCGCTGAGGCGTGGCTCCCGGAGCAGGAGGCGCGGAGGCCGTCCTCGGCGTTTCAGAGTCGGGGCAGGGAATGTCCACGGCCAACTGCGGGCAGGGGACCCCCAGGCGGCTACAACAGGTGCGCCGGGTCCGCCCACCCGGCTCGAGGCGCGCCCGCCCCTGCGCCGACCCCCGACCCCTTCCGCCGCCGGGGCCCAGCTGTTACCTGCAGCGACGCCTCCCGAGTCCCGGGAGGGCGGCCCAGGGCCGGCGCCTTACCCGCGGGCAGGCCCACTCGCCCAACGGACGAGGCGGGTCGGCGAAGTCGGGGCACAGGTCCTGCGGGGCCGCGGGGGCCGCCAGGGAGGGCGCGACCACCTGACAGGGCTTCACAGGCAGTGTCCTCAGCCGGTGACATGGCCGCTACCGTCGCTCAGTGTCCCCGGCGACGCGCGGATCCTCACGCGCTCCCTCACTTCCTGCGGCTTTTAGTCCCTCCCGCTCGCCATCCCTCTGGTTCTGCCCACTCTGCCTCCGGGTTGTCAGGGCAACCGTAGCGACGCCGGCCCTGGCTGAGAGGCGTTAGGAGCCCGGGCGTTCGCCCGCGGAGGGCGGGGAGCAGCCGATCATGGAGCCCCAGAGTAAGGGAGGCCGGGGCTGGAGCTGGGACCGGGGCGGGCGACCGGGCTGGGGCTCCCTGGGAACGAGTGTGGGCGCTCCGCGTGCGACTCCACAGGTTTCAGCGCTCGGACACGGAAATACGGTTTGCGTCTCCTCGCACTTTTCTCTCTTGGAGAGGGGAGAAGGGGGCTACATCCTGCCAAGTCTGTATGGTTGGGCCGCCGGCGCCCGAAAGTCCGCGCTGGGGGCCGGGAGCGACTGGAGAGCCCCGAGGTATGGGTGGGGGAGGGCGCAGCGACCCCAGCTTGCGCCTTCCTGAAACTTCCCCCAGACAGTTCCATTTACTCCTCCTCCTACTCATGATTTTAGTTTGGTAGTTTGGTTCATTAATTGTAAGTAGCCCATTTTTCTTCTAAAATGCCAGCAATTAAACACGTCTGAGGCTGGGTTTTGTATTTATTAGAGACCCCGTCTTACTCCCTGTCCCCCGCCCCACACCCCTAGTCTGAGACTTGAAGGAGAGAGAGAAAAAAAGAGCTTTGTCCAAGTGTATTTGATTCATTCTTAGGGGTTCTACAAGTTAGGACACTCAAAAAGTGTTTGTGATCTCTTTTTCTGTTTTCCCATGTTGCTTTTGATGTATGGCAAAAGTTGTGCAGTTTTGAGTTATCAGATCTAACACAAGCTCTAACTTACTATTTTTGTTGTTTTTACCTTTCCAGGGACTTTGTTTCAAGGCCTTTCTTTCTCTGCCCTGCCTAAGCTGTCTTATTGTTCCTTTTGTTCTGAAAATAAGGGGAGTGTTTTGTATGGAGACTTAAAATATCTAAAACCTTTATAGAAGGATGCAGTTTGACTTCCAAACCAAGCGGTCTTATCTTGTACAATTTCAGAAATGAAGAACTCAGACCAAATCTACTCTCTGGGGAAAATGTTGGCATTTTTAAAGGTCATTCGTTTTCCACCAAGAAAGTTTCAAATACTTTTCTTTTTAACTCATTTGCTGAGGAGAAAACTTGCAAGTTGTGACTTATAGTTGCTTGATAAATTTTGTACAGTATTTGTTATTTGCATTTACAGCTCTTTGGATTCTACATTTTTTTAACCTAGTAAAAGAAATTTAGCATACGACAACGCTAAAATTTTTGTTTTATGTCAAACTGATGGCAGGCTGTGTGTATTCCGGCCTTAGAGAAGTGAGTTGAAATGTATCTTTTAAAAACAACAACTTGGCCAGGCCCGGTGGCTCACGCCTGTAATCCCAGCACTTTGGGAGGCTGAGGCAGGCGGATCACAAGGTCAGGAGATTGAGACCGTCTTGGCCAACATAGTGAAACCCATCTCTACTAAAATACAAAAAAAAAAGAAAAAAAAGAAAAAAAGCCAGACGTGGTGCCGCGTGCCTGGAGTCCTAGCTACTTGGGACGCTGAGGCTGAGGCAGGGGAATCGCTTGAACCCGGGAGGCGGAGGTTGCAGTGAGGCCAGATTGCACCACTGCACTCCAGCCTGGTGACAGAGCGAGACTCCATCTCGAAAAAACAAACAAAAAAACCTTTATTTCTTCAGATTTATGTTACTGTTTACATGTGTAAACTATGTTTCAAGTTATTCAGTGCTGTCTTTATCCATTCATTCATTTAGAGTGCCTGTTATGTTGCAGCTCTGTTCTAGGGATTGGGGATTGAACAACGGATCAGACAGTGTTAGTTTTGGTCATCCCAGGAAAACTAAGCAGAGGCTTGCTCAAGAACTACTGAGGTCTTGGTGGGGTTCGGAGATTGGGGGAAGAGGAGATGGACAAAGGCTCCCAAGAGGAAGTAGTACTGGGTCTGCAGAATGACCCAACAAAGAATGAGAGCAAGGGATTCCAGGCAGTGGGAATTACTTGTACATAGGCCCTGAGACCTGAGAGCAGTGTGGGTTTGAGGCTCACAGTAGGAAGATTAGTAAAGCTGTAGCTAAGGAGAGGAGGAGGAAAAAACGGCTGGAAGGAGGGAGGAGAAATGAGATAAGGCTGGAAAAGTCAATTGGAGCCAGATCAGAAAGGTTCTGTAACCATGTGAGAAATGTATTACATATGTGAACTATACATTTATATCTCATGTCATTGGATTTTTGAGGTGGAAAATATTTAATTTATACCTGAGGAATGACTGTAAATTTCTTTCTTTCCACATATTCTTAAATGATTTCATCAATTTAATTTCAAATAATTCAATCACCATTTAGCTCAAGTTCTTTTTTTTTTTTTTTTTTTTTTTTTTTTTTTTTTTTTGAGACAGGGTCTTCCTCTGTCACCCAGGCTGGAGTATAGTGGTGCGATCATAGCTCACAACACCCCGAACTCTTGGGCTCAAGCAATCCTCTCACCTGAGCCTCCCGAGTAGAAGTGACTACAGGTGTGTGCCACCATACACAGCTAATTTATTTATTTATTTAGAGACAGAGTTTCGCTCTTCTTGCCCAAGCTGGAGTGCAATGGTGTGATCTGGGCTCAATGCAACCTCCACCTCCCAGGTTCAAGCAATTCTCCTGCCTCAGCCTCCCAAGTAGCTGGGATTAGCAGCATGCGCCACCATGCCTGGCTAATTTTGTACTTTTAGTAGAGATGGGGTTTCTCCATGTTGGTCCAGCTGGTCTTGAACTCCTAACTTCAGGTGATCCTCCCGCCCTGGCCTCCCAAAATGCTGGGATTACAGGTGTGAGCCACTGTGTCCGGCCCCTAATTTTTTTTTTAGTTTTATTTACTTTGAATAGAGATAAAGTCTGATTTTGTTGCCCAATTTGTTCCCGAACGCCTGGCCTCAAGTGATCCTCCTGCATCGTCCTCCCAAAGTGCTAAGATTACAGGCGTGAGCCAGCACACCCAGCCTGGAAATTCTTTAACAGCCTAAGAAACATAATTTGGATAAATATTTACTACCAAATGAGTTACTAAATATTTAAAAGGACAAGATTAAATGATCCTTGAGGTTTCTTTTAACTTGGAGATTTGTATCCAACCAGATTTCACCTGAGACTGAAGTTATTTCCTACCGTCAGTGATAATGGAAGCACTACAGTTGTGGCATTCAAGTATTACAGTGAATTACAATTATACTGTCAGCAATATTATGTTACCAGTACATTGTTTATGGCAATATTATCTAACATATTTTAAGCCCTGTTCCTTTTGTTACTGAGAGGGTTAAAATAACATTTTACAAGTATAGTTGAATATAGCATCAGTAAATTGGTTATGAGGAAGACTCCTTCATAATTGCTTTTAAGGATTAAACATGTATCTAAGGACAACACCAAGGAAATAATAGAAATAACCCTTGAGTCAGTCTTTTCCGTTCTGTTTCCACACCCTTAGTTTTCTATTACTTTTAGGAATGACCTTTGTTAACTAAGACATTAAAATCCAATAAACATAGACTCTTCAGACCCCACAGCTGGATCATACTCTTGGCAGCAAGCAGAGGAAGACAGGGGCTACCACTGTTTTACAGAATAATATTAAGTCAATGATCCAAGAAATGACTTGCCAGGGAAATGGCAAATTAAATACGTACACAACCTTGGGCTGTTGAGAGTGGTTTTGGCTCTTGGCTTGCACATTGACGTCTTTAATTCTTTTCTTGCTAAACCAATTTCAGTATTGGAAAGATAGCTCATGTATAAAATAACATGGAAAATGTACATCACATCCCATTTGTTTTGGGTTTTTGTCCTTTTTTTTTCTTTTTTTGGAAAATAGTTCAATAGTACTATCTCTTCCTTAATTTCTTAATGAGTGTCAATACCAAGGGGTGGCTTTGGGGATCTTTAGCCCAAATCTAAGCAAACATATAATCTGAGTAAAAACTGTGTATATTTATCAAATGCAGCATCAAGACAAGCCCCCCAGCTCCCACTTGGTGCTGCCTGTTCTGTAAGCTCTTGCCATATATATATATATATATATATATATATATATATATATATATATATATTTTTTTTTTTTTTTTTTTAAATCTGGGGTTAGTTTAAGCCCAGCAGGCAGCAGTTTTCTGCTACACATGTTTCTTTCTGTTTTTGTTTGTTTGTTTGTTTGTTTTTTGAGACAGAGTCTTGCTCTGTTACCCAGGCTGCAGTGTAGTGGCACTAGCTTGGCTCACTGCAACCTCCGCCTCCCAGGTTCCAGCGATTCTCCTGTCTCAGCCTCCCAAGTAGCTGGGATTACAGGTGCATGCCATCATGCCTGGCTAATTTTGTATTTTTATAGAGACAAGTTTTCACCGTGTTGGTCAGGCTGGTCTCAAACTCCTGATCTCATGTGATCCACCTGCCTCGGCCTCCCAAAGTGCTGGGATTATAGGCATGTGCCACTGTGCCCAGCCTCTTTCTGCCCCCCCGTTTTTTTGTAGTTGTTGTTTTTAGAGAGACAGGGTCTTGCTGTGTTGCCCAGGTATGCATCAAACTCCTGGGTTCAAGGGATCCTTCCACATTGGCCTCCCTGGGTTCACGCATGTTTTTAAAGAAATGGTAGATAAGAGATCTAAGGTATTCCAGTGACTAAGAAACTGAGGTGAATGACTAAGGGACTGAGACTTCTCTCTCCAAACCTGTTTCTCCACTAGTCTTCCAAGCCTTCCCAGTTACTCCAACCTTAAAATGAGTCATCCTTGGCTCCTCATTACCAACCCTCACCCCACCCTTTTCCATCCATCAGCAGATCTGTTTATTCCACTTCCAAAATATACCCCAAATGTGCTTCCTCTTCCTCCGTACTCCAAGCTACCATGCCGTGTAAGTTATGATTGTGATTTTTGCGTGTCTGCTTCCACTGCTGCCCTGTAAGATATGATTGTGATTTTTGCATGTCTTCTTCCACTGCTACCTGGAAGCTGGAGTGACCTTTCAAAATATACATCAGATCAGATCATGTCACTCTCCTGCCAAAAGCCCTCCAAAGTTCTTACGGTGATCTAGCTGCCTCTTCAAACTCATCACACATCTGATCTTAGACGTATTATGCTTCAAGCACATTGGTCTTCTTGTAGTCCCTCAAACAAGCTTCTTTCAGGACTGTGGCTCTGAACAAGCTTTCCTCTCTGCCAGGGATGCTATTCCCTCCTGCTATGGCAGGTCTGACTCCTAATGTCCTTCAATCTTTGCCTAAATTTCACCTCCTCCAGCCCTTCCCTGGCTTCCTAAAGTGGTGGTGCCCCCTCTCTGATGTTATTCTATCTCTGTGCTTTTCTCTTAATAGTAATAATCAGAACTTATAATTATTTTGTTAATATTTAAAATCTAGCTGGACATGGTGGCTCACGCCTGCAATCCCAGCATTTTGGGAGGCCAAGGCAGGAGGATCACCTGAGGTCAGGGGTTCGAGACCAGTCTGGCCAACTGGCGAAATCCCATCTCTACTAAAAATACAAAATTAGCCAGGTGTGGTGTTGCATGCCTGTAATCCTAGCTACTCATGTGGCTGAGGCAGGAGAATTGCTTGAACCCAGGAGGCGGAGGTTGCAGTGAGCCGAGATATCACCACTGTTCTCCAGCCTGGGAGACAAGAGCAATGTGGGGTGGGGGGAGGGTGGAGGGATAGCATTAGGAGATATACCTAATGCTAAATGACGAGTTAATGGGTGCAGCACACCAGCATGGCACATGTATACATATGTAAGTAATCTGCACATTGTGCACATGTACCCTAAAACTTAAAGTATAATAATAATTTTTTAAAAATCTACTTTCTTCACTCGACTGTAGGGTGGTGGAAGAGGTCAGGGGACCCGTCTGCCCTGTTTGCCATCCTATCCCTAGTGCCTAACATGGAGTAAACCCTAAACATTCATGGAATGGATAGCACTGCTGTTCACAGATAGATGCCTTACCTACTTTCATTTCCTTAAGAGTGTTGTGGTGTAGTTAAAAAAAGAAAGCCATTTTATTCTACATTATTCTACAACACAAAGGGCTGTGCTCCAGTGAAATTTGAAGTGCCTTTTGTGGAGTGTGCTTTGGGTAAAGTTCATTTAAATCAGGTACTTATAAATGTCAGGTCGATTACAAATATGGTTTCCCATTTTCTTTTCTAACCTAAACGAGACGTTTTAAACAAGTCTCATTCTATCCAGTAAGAATAAGGAAAGAGGCAAGTAATCTTATTTTTGGGACCAAGCGGCCACGAGGTCATAAGACCTAAAAATCTTTACACTCCCAGGCAGCACCTGCTCGTTAATTATCTAGGAGACTGGTAAGGATTTAAAAGTAATTTTTTTCCTTAAGCCCAGGAATCATTTAAAAAATCTGTATAACATTTTTTTCTCATGTAGTCTTAGCCCCGAAGAATATTAAATCTATCAATTAGGTTATAATTCAAATCTTATCAAGAAATAAATGCTTATATAAATCAAGATTAAAAATATTTTCAAAGCAGCGTTTTTTAAACAGTGACGTTTTAAAATCCCCGTCAAAATGGTAAAATTCGTTGTGATCCTGACCTCTCATGCTGTCAGCCACAGGAAGGGGCAAAACAACTTGAGGCTTGAAGCCGTGTCTTTCCCGAAACTCAGGTTCACCAAACATGGTCTCCAGATGGAGTCTGTTCCTCAGAACCTGGGCTTTACTTCTTGATGGGAGAAGGAAGCAGTGTTAAAACTTGTCTATTCTGAACTAGCCAACCAGATTAAAGGAGGGGTTTGTGCATACCAACATCATCCCAGAATGACCTGAATGACTCATTACATGCAGACAGTGGTGCAAACTCATTAACAAGTAAACAACTCACACCAGTGCTCTGTGCTCACAGGGCTGGGGGCATTCTTGGGTATTTTTCTTAAGGGAGGCTGGAAGAAGGGAGGAGGTGTTCCTTTCTCCTAGAGGCAAAGGCCAGTTCCTTTTGCTGTGCCCCAGGCCTTTCCTGGTTGTTATAAACTCTTCCAGTCCTTTTCTTGGGAAGGTGCTCTCATCCCCACCCTCCTGCCTCCTCCCTCCACCTGTTGTGCACTCCCTGAGAGAAACAAAACAAGTTAATTAGCTTATTCAGCTACTTGGGAAGCTGAGGTGGGGGGACTGCTTGAGCCTAGGAGTTTGGATTCAGCCCAGGCAACATGTCGAGACCCCATCTCTAATTTTTTTTAAGTTTTTGTTTTTTTAATTTAAATTAACATATTCAGGCTAGTGCACGTACTTCGGTTCTCTACTGAAGTAATTCACCCTAAATTGAAACTAGCATTGCTAGTTTAGTGTATTACTCCTCTCTAGGCAGCCTCTCTCTCTCTGTATATATTTTGTTTGTTTGTTTGTTTTGTTTTGTTTGGTTTTTTTGAGACAGAATTTCACTCTTGTCGCCCAGGCTGGAGTGCAATGGCACAAGCTAGGCTCACTGCAACCTCCACCTCCTGGGTTCAAGCTATTCTTCTGCCTCAGCCTCCCGAGTAGCTGGGACCACAGAATGTGTGTGACCACACCTGGCTAATTTTTTATTTTTTTGAACTGGAGTCTCACTTTGCTCCCCAGGCTAGTCTTGCCACTATCCTAGTTTTTCTTCTGTATTATTAGACGGGACCTCAGTGTCCTTGAACTGCAAGGAATTAACATTGAGTGTAGTATTAGTAAAACCTATCTTCTATTCATGAAAATCAATCATTTTTTTAAAAAAAGATCCCACAATTATTATAAGCAGAAACAAATTAAAAGGTTGTATACCTACTGTTTGAAAAACACAACTTACCAAAACCAAACATAAGAAGTATGTATACTCCTATAATTATGAAATAAATAGAATCCATAATTTAAAACTTCCTCACAAAAACAGTCCCCAGTTCCTGATGGCATCACTGGTGAATTCTTCAATGAAAGGGAAAAAAAAAAAACAACATTACAGATTTTTTTTAAATCTTAGGGACAGATCTCACTATGTTGCCCAGGCTGGAGTGCAGTGGCTATTCACAGTCACGTTCCAGTTATCCTCCCACTTCAGCCTCTTGAGTAGCTGGGACTACAGGCTACAGAAACTTTTAAGAGAACAAAAATAAAGGGAACTCCTGAGCTCAAGCACTTCTCCCACCTCGGCCTCCCAAAGTGCTGGGATTACAGGTATGAACCACTGTGCCCTGCTTAGTGTGCTGTTTTTAAAAATGACTTTTGGGCTCGTGTTCATGTGACTGATTAGCCTGTAGTTTTACTTTTTGTAATTTTTTAGACTACTTTTGATATCAAGTTTATTGTAATCTCAAAAAATGAGCATGGCTCTGTTCCCTTTATTTTTGTTCTCTTAAAATTTCTGGTCAGGCACGGTCGCTCACGCCTGTAATCCCAGCACTATGGGAGGCCGAGGCGGGCAGATCACGAGGTCAGGAGATCGAGACCATCCTGGCTAATATGGTGAAACCCCGTGTCTGCTAAAAATACAACAAAAAAAATTTAGGCAGGTGTGGTGGTGGGTGCCTGTAGTCCCAGCTACCAGGGAGGCTGAGACAGAATGGCGTGAACCCGGGAGGCGGAGTTTGCAGTGAGCCGAGACTGCACCACTGCACTCCAACCTGGGTGACAGAGCGAGACTCTGTCCCAAAAAAAAAAAAGTTTCTGTAACCTGTAGTCCCAGCTACTCCGGAGGCTGAGGTGGGAGGATCACTGGAACGTGACTGTCAAAAGCCACTGCACTCCAGCCTGGGCAACATAGTGAGACTCTGTCACTAAGATTTAAAAAAAAAAAATCTGTCCCGGAAATTAAAAAAGTAATTCTGTAGTGTTGGTGTTACTTTTCCCTTTCATTGAACAATTTACCAGTGAAGCCATCAGGAACTGGGAATTGTTTTTGTGGGAAAGTTTTAAATTACGGATTCTGCCTATTACTAGACATAAGAGTTTACATACTTCTTCTGTTTGGCTTTGGTAAGTTGTGTTTTTCAAACAACAGGTGTAGGTGTACAACCTTTCAATTTGTTTCTGCGTCTAATAATTCTGGAATCTTTAAAAAATGACTTTTCATGATGAATAGAACATAGCTTTTACTAATGCTCTAATCAGTATAAATTCCTTGCAGATCAAGGACAGTGAGGCCATGTCTAATAATCCAGAGGCAGAACTTGGATTTGGGAGATAACTCCCGCCTCTTGCACTCTCTGTGACAAGTCTAGTTTTGATATCAAGTTTATCTTAATCTCAATAAATGAGCTTGGCTCTGTTCCCTCTATTTTCTCTTTAAAGTTTCTGCAGCCTGTAGTCCCAACTACTCAGGAGGGTGAGGTGGGAGGATCACTTGAATCCAGGAGTTCAAGGCTGTTTACTGAAACAATAAGGAATGAGCATTCCCAAGAGAATACAATTACAAAAGTAAAATCACCTAGAGCTTTAGGGCTGCTTAAGAAGCCCAGAAAGAAGTGCCAAGTGAGAAAATAATCAAACTCAGTGGAAAAAGTCACTTGAGGGTATCATGGTCAGCTGAGTTTCCACCCCTTTGATGCACTTTAAATCCTGTGTATTCCACAAAGAATTACTCCTTTCTAAAGGCTATGGTTGACGTTCAACAGAATAGCAGCAACCACCATGAGCCTGAGGGCTGGCTAGTCTTTAGTATTCTGCCTTATTCAAAGAAACGATCATTTCCCTCATTCCTAAAAATCTCCCAGGTCCATTACAAAAAAAGCAGCAGCAGCCAGGCGCAGTGGCTCACCCCTGTAATCCCAGCACTTTGAGAGGCCAAGGGGGGAGGATCACCTGAGGTCGAGAGTTCAAGACCAGCCTGGCCAACATGGTGAAACCCCGACTCTACTAAAAATACAAAAATCAGCAGGGTGTGGTGGTGTGTGCCTGTAATCCCAGCTACTAGGGAGGCTGAGGCAGGAGAATTGCTTGAACTCGGGAAGTGGAGGTTGCAGTGAGCCAAGATCATGCCACTGCACTCCAGCCTGTGGGACAGAGCAAGACCCTGTCTCAAAAAAAAAAATTCTTACCTCCTGGAAGTATTTTACTAGTGTTGGTTTCTATTTGACATTAAACACTTCCCCAGGCCAGTGCATTAGCAGTTAGCTCCTTACTGAATATTATCTGTAGCAAACAGTAGCTGACTCCTAGCTCTCTTCAGTGAACTTGAATTTAAATTTATAGAATTCTCATGACTTCTATTTCATCTTGAAACCTAGAGATTTCTTCCTTTTCCTAGTGATTTACCTTTCAATTATATGTAGACTGAACCAGTCAGAGCCGTCTTTAGTTGCTCTCTATTCAAACACTGTACTTTTGTTTCTTGATTACATCTTCAATTATTTTAGTTATTTCTGAGATTCTCCCCTGCAATTTCTCCAACTCTCTAGGGCATAAAGAGTGCATGAATAACATTATGAAGGCTGTGAGACTTCAAATAAATGAGTAGCCTTTCTGAGCCTCAGTTTTCTCCTCTGTAAACCACGAATAATTTTTACTGAACAAAGTTGTTCTAAGGATTAGTGAAATGTATGTAAAGCACTTAGCATTTAATAAGTGATCAAATGGTAAGTGATGCTTATAAAATGTTTTTATCATGGTAAAATATACAAAGCATAAAACTTACCAGCCTTTTAATCTAAATAGTCTTATTGTGATAGGCTTGCTTATAGTAAAACAAACTCTTATCTTTTAGTATCTGTAGGATCTATAGTGATAAGTCTTCACTCCTTATATTCTAACTTGTGCCTAATTAGTTAGGCACAACTCTTACTAATTAGTTATCTATTGCTGCATAAGAAATTACCTGAAACTTAATGTCTTCAAACAACAACAAGTATTTATTATCTGTGATAGGCAGACTTCTGTTTCCCATGATCTCGATGTCCTGGTGTTATGCTCTGTATGATCTCTTCCTTTTTTAGTGTGGATGGGATCACTGCCCAAACTTTTGGATGAAATCGAGTAAGTGTGAGTAGGATCTGTGACTTGTTTCTAACTGACATAATATTGCAAATGTGATGGGTTGTTACTCCTGGGATGTGTGTGTGTGTGTGTGCGCACAGAAGAAAGGAGAGGGAAGAGGAGAGGAGGAGGAGGAGAGAGACATACATTAGGATATGAGATAGACATATTGCTGGCATGCACACAAGATTCTCCTTGCTGATTTGATGAAGTGTGTGACCATATTGAGGAAGCCCAACAGCAGGTGGTGTCTAGGACCTGAGGGTGGCCTCCAGCCAATACCCAATAAAAAACATAGCTACACAATCATACAGACATAAGGAAATGAATTTTGTCAACAACCTGAATGAGCTTGAACCTAGCTCAGCTGACGCCTTGCCTGCAACCTTGTGAGACCCTATGCAGTGAACCCAGTTGAGTTGTGCCCAAATTCCTGACCCACAGAAAATACGAGAGAATAAATATGTTTTTTCCTCCCTTTTTTTTTGAGACAGTTTCACTCTTGTTTCCCAGGCTGGAGTGCAGTGGTGTGCTCTCAGCTCACCACAACCTCTACTTCCCTGGTTCAAGCGATTCTCCTGCCTCAGCCTCCCAGGTAGCTGAGATTATAGGCATGTGCCACCACACCCAGCTAATTTTGTATTTTTAGTAGAGATAAGGTTTCTGCATGTTGGTCAGGCTGGTCTCGAACTCCTGACCCTCAGGTGATCTGTCTGTCTCGGCCTCCCAAAGGGCTGGGATTACAGGTATGAGCCATGGTGACTGGCCTTTTCTCATATGTTTATAGCAGCACAATCTGCAACTGAAAAAATATGGAATCAGTTAAAATGCCCATCAGTGAACAAATGGATAAAGAAAATGTGGTATATATGTAGCATGGAATACCACTCAGCCATAAAAAGGAACAAAATAATGGCATTTGCAGCAATCTGGATGGAATTGGAGACTTGTTCTATGTGAAGTAACTCAGGAATGGAAAACCAAATATCATATGTTCTCACTCATAGGTGGGAGCAAAGCTATGAAGATGCAAAGGCATAAGAATGATACAATTGATTCTGGGGACCCAGGGGAAAGGGTGGGAGGGGGATGAGGGAGAAAAGACTACACATTGGGTACAGTGTACCCTGCTCGAGTGATGGGTGCACTAAAATCTCAGAAATCACCACTAAAGAAGCTATTCATGTAACCAAACACCATCTGTTCCCCAAAAACCTATTGAAATAAAAAATAAATTTTAAAAAAAGGAAGTAAAAAAACCACTTAAAAAAGAATAAACATGTATTTTCTTAAATGAAATCCTGACCCACAGAAACTGTATAAGAGAAAATATACTAGACAATATATGTATGTTTCCTGAGATGTTCATTTGTTATACAAAAATAGAAAACTAATATAGAGCTTCTGTGGGTCCTGATTTGAGAAATGCTTTAGCTGGTTGGTTCTGTCTTGGTCAATATGTTGATTAGGCCTGCAGTCATCCGAAGGCTTGACTGAGGCTAGGGCATCCAATTTCAAGACGTCTCACTTAACATGGCTAGCAAGTCAATGCTGTCTGTTAGCAGGAGAACTCTGTAATGTAATGCATTAAGCTCTGTAGGGTTGCTTGAATGTCCTTGCAGTATGGTAGCTACTTTCACCCAGGGTGAGCAAGGTGGAAGCTGCCATGTGTTTTATAATCTAGCCTAGGAAATTTGAACTAGCTTTTTGATAACACAGGTCAGCCATATTCAATATGAGAGAGAACTGCACGAGGCATGGATAGCAGAAGTGAAAATCACCGCGGGCCATTTTGGAGGCTGGCTGCCACAGAGATTAGCAACTGGAATACTGTTTTCAAAGAAACAGCTTTGGCTTTTTATATTTTCTCTATTATGTCTTTGGTTTTTTTTTCATTGATTTCAGCTTTTATCCTTATTATTTCCATCATTTTAATTTCATTCAGCTTAATTTGCTGGGATTTTTGAGATGGATGCTTAGATCATTGGAGTTTTTTTCTTTTTCTTTTTCTTTTTTTTGAGACAGGGTCTTACTGTGTCACTCAGGCTATAGTGCAGTGATGAATCATAGCTCATAGCAGCCTTAAATTACTGAGCTCAAGTGATCCAATCCTCCCTCCTCAGCCTTCCAAGTAGCTGGGACTACAGGTGTGTGTCACCATGCTCAATTAATTTTTTTTTTTTTTTTTTTTTTTTTTTTTTTTTTTTTTGCTGTGACAGGTCTCACTATGTTGCCTGGGCTGGTATTGAAGTTCTGGCCTCAAGCAAACTTCCTACCTTGGCCTTCCAAAATGTCGGGATTATACATGTGAGCCACCACACCTATCATAACAGTTTTTCAGTACTTTTTTTGTTTTGTTTTCAAATACATGTGTTTACGATTATAGATTCCCCCCACCCCAGATTTAGTCACATCCCACAAGTTTTCTACTTTTGTAAAATTTTATTGAAGTATAATATACCTGACAGAAAGTGTGCCATCTTAAATGTACAGGTGGATGAATTATCACAATGTAAATAAACCTCTGTAACTAGCACCAAGATAAAAAAAAAACTACTAGTTATTTAAACCTAGGTTTGATAATATTACCAATGACTTTAAAGTTCATGTCTGATAATTCTAATACCTGAAGCACTTGTGGGTTTGTTTCTTTTTTCTGTTTTTTATTTTGCTCATAGTTTTCAGTCACTTGATCATATATCCTGGGATTCCTGGTAACATATACATACTTCACATTTTTAAAAATTGTACAGCTCTAGCATAAAGAGTCCTACAATGGGTACTTATCCCCCATCTATAACTTTTTTTACACTTTGTTTTGTTTTTACTCTTTCTAAACTTTATTATTTTACTTTTTGGATAAGTAATATAGTTACAAGTTTCTAAGATAAAAAATTATGAAAGAGTGTTAGTGAAAAGTCTCATTCTTGCAATGCCAGCACCCTCTTCCTGTCCTACAGGTAACCACCATGATTAATTTCTGCTATATCATTCCAGAGATAGTTTAAACCTCATATATACAAGCAAATTATGTATACTGCATTCCTGTGTCTGTTCTGTACTTTGCTTTTTTCACCTAACATTATATTTTGGTGAGTTTTCTGTTTAGTACATAATACATTTTCTCATATTTTAAACAACTGTATTCTGTTGTATGAATTTATCATAATTTTTTGAATCAGTCCCCTGCTGGTGGACATCCAGTTTGTTTCCAGACGTTTGCTATTGTGATAGGCTGAATAAAAGATGTCCACAGGCCGGGCACGGTGGCTCACGCCTGTAATCCCAGCACTTTGGGAGGCCGAGGCGGGCGGATCATGAAGTTAGGAAATTGAGACCATCCTGGCTAACACAGTGAAACCACATCTCTACTAAAAACACAAAAAATTAGCCGGGTGTGGTGGCATGCGCCTGTAGTCCCAGCTACTTGTGAGGCTAAGAGGCAGGAGAATTACTTGAACCCAGGAGGCAGAGGTTGTAGTGAACCGAGATTGCACCACTGCACTCCAGCCTGGGTGACACAGTGAGACTCTGTCTTTCCAAAAAAAAAAAGATGTCCACATTCAAATCCCTGAATCTAGGAATATATTACTTTACATAGCCAAAGGGGCCTTGGGAGTAAGGATTGTGAGATGGGCAGAGGAGCGTGTATCATCCAGGTGGGCACAATGGAATCAATCACAAGCGTCCTTATAAGCGGGAAGAAGCGTCAGACTCAGGTGATACGAAGATGGAAGTGGTGATTGCAGTGATACACGATCAAAAGCCAAGGTATGTGGAAAGCCGTCAACAGAAGGAAGAGGCATGGAAACGGACTCTCCCCTGGAGCCTCCAGAAGGAACCAGCCTTTGATTTTAGCTCCGCAAGACGCGTTTCAGACTTCTGACCTCCAGGCTCATAATAAGATAAGTTTCTGTTGTTTTAAGCTGCTACATTTGTGGTAACTGATTATAGCAGCAATAGGAAACTTAGAAGAGCTATTTTTATAATTATAAGCAAAGCAGCAAGAAACAATGTGTATCTGAGATTTTGCATTTGGGAAAGTATATCTGCAGAATAAATGTCTAGATGTGGACTAGGTAGTTAGTTTTGATAATTGTTAAATCACTCTCCTCTAGACGGGTTATACCAGTTTATACTTCTAGCAGCAATATGAGTGAATGCCTCTTTCCCACAGCCTCCTCAACTCCATGTGTTACCAAACTTAGAATTTTTACTGTTCTGCTAGTAAAAAGCCCTAATTTCTTTGGATAACTTACTAATTATTGAGTCTTCCTCATCTGCACAACATGGTTAGAAGCTCCTTCAGAGTTATGCCTGGGTCCTTATTTCTATTTTTTTCTACACTGCATACCTTTGCGTCCTTCCTGTTAACCTTACATAGGGCGGGCTCCCTGCACAGAAGGAGGCGATGATATACTCAACGGCATCTGTGCGTGATAGAGGGGAAAAATATGCGATGTAGAATCCATTCTATCCATCTATCAAGTTCCATTTAGGAAAACAAAATATCCTAATCACAATAATTGACTAGTGAAGACTGAAGAAGCAGTTGCCTAGCAATGCCCTGATCATTTTTGATGTTGACTGGTTGACATAAGGCGGGATCAACAAACACACAGCACGTGTGTGGCCCTGGCAGCTGATTCAGATCCTTCTCACTAAGGTCAACATTACCCAGGCTCTTGGAGGCAGCCACTCCTCATTGATTATTTGCACATGAGATAAACCTCTTTGTTTTACCATATTGAAGGACTAACAGAATCACAAACTGTAACTCAAGTGCTTTTCCAGTGAAGAGTGAAATAGGAAGGAACGAAAATAACATATATCTACCCCCCTCCTCCTCTTCCTTTAGCTTGGGGTCATCATTACCTCCATTTCTCCATTTTATTTTTGTTTCCTTTTTATTGGCACCACCCAAGTATGTGTGTATGTGTGTGTGTGTGTGTGTGTGTGTGTGTGTGTGTGTGTTTGATATTAAAACTTTAGGGAAAGAAACAGCTCTCTTAAAAATGTCAGCAACTTCAATTCATTGCTTTTTAAATATCCTGGTTAATAATTTACGCCCTTGGTTAAAATATTCAATCTTCTACTTAATATATAGTGCTTAGCTTTGTTTTTATTTTATTTTTTGAGACAGTCTTGTTAGCTCTGTTGTCCAGGCTGGAGTGCAGTGGCCCAATCTTGGCTCACTGCAACCTCCACCTCCTGGGTTCAAGCAATTCTCATGCCTCAGCCTCCCGAGTAGCTGGGATTACAGGTGCCCACCACCACGCCCAGCTAATTGTGTTTTTAGTGGAGACGGGCTTTCACCATGTTGGCCAGGCAGATCTCGAACTCCTGACCTCAAGTGATCCGTCCGCCTCGGCCTCCCAAAGTGTTGGGATTACAGGCATAAGCCATCGTGTCCAGCCTAGTGCTTAGCTTTAATGTGAGTTAGTGTTAGCATACACATTCAGAATTCTTTCAACCTCAAACCACAAATCTTAATTATGTATCATGGAAATACAAATTGGAACAAAAATCTATTGACTGTGAGCCCACATAACATAATTTTTGTTTCCTGAAAACAAAAGTATGCAAGTGGATGAGGCCTTTTAAGGGAATCTTGTGGCTTCTCTGTCCTTGCTGTTCTGAATTGGTGATTATCAACAGAAATGCCCAACAGGTGATTGTAAAGATACTGGTAATTCTCCACTCTTATCTGATTACACCTACATTTTGCTTGTTGCTCATTCTGCATAACATCTAAATGCTGTGTGACACCTAAACCCTTTAGTAGTCGGCCAAAAGGAGGAACGAGGGCGTGTTTATGAAACAGACAGCTGTCGTGAGTCCTGGCGCTCAGCTTCATTCACTAATCAGTTGTCAGTTGGCAACTTGATTGCAGATAACTTCAGTGTGAGTCAGGCTCGTTTGCCACAGCTGTTTCTCTTAAAAGTTCTCTGATAAGTCATTGCCACCACTACTTCCAAATAGCGTACGTTAACTTTGAGTTAATTTTAGATAAACTCGGGTTAATTTACAAAATTTTGGCACCAACAACATGGTTAGGCAAGGCAGCATGGATGGGTATTGGAATCCATCAATCTGGGTTGCTGTGTACCAGCTCTGGGACTGGGGGCAAGTTGTAGCAGCCCTGAGCCTCCTGCTTCACCTGTATCAAGGGAGGCTGAGACCTACCTTGCAAGGGTCTTGTGAAGATTAAATGCAATGCTGTGTGAATGGTGCCTACTTCGTGCCTGGCCTGTCAAGACCAGGCAGTTTACACAAAAACACTTGATATTGACTATGAAACAAGATCCGGAAGAGAACAAATATAAATACAGATGGATCAGCTAAATGAAGGACTGTCGAGTAAAAACACAAAGAGGATGTTTGTGAGTGGAGGGGGATGGATCTCCTTCTCCACCCAGCAGTGAATATCATGGGAATCTCTCTCTACCTGAATCTACCTCTTATAATTCTTAAATTAAGAACCATTAGAACTCTTCTAAACTTTCTAAATACTCATTACAGTATGAAACCCTGCCCACCTCCCAGACAACTTCCTGTGGACATTAGATTTTTTAAACATAGGATATGTTAAGTGATGGTCTTCATTCATCGATGTCACATTTTAAATTTGTATTACTTTTTCTTCATTTTCCAAAGCTCCAGCTCAGCATTTTTGTATGCCATATATATATGTATATATTTAAAAAGTCTCAGTGGCCTTTTTAATGTGTCGATTTCTACACCCCAGCCTCAGGTAGTGTAAGCTTCATGAGTACAGGAACCAGCCCTGCCTGCTCACGCTGTCACCAGCATGTTCGCAGGGCGGACACATGCCAGGCACTCAGGTATTAGATGAATAGGTAAATGGAAGACTGGAAAATGTAGGCTGGACTGAGAACTTGTGGATAGACACACCTCAGTGATTTGTGAAAAGGAAGATTGGCCCAAAGCAATGTTTGTGAACCAAATTTTCATTATCAAAGAGGAAAAACTAAACATTCCCTAACAAATGAAAAAGGAACAAAATTTTTGTTAGATGATGTTGAGCTTTGAAAGGCCACCAAGGACACTTTCAATATCAAATCTTCCTCATCCCCCCAACTCCAGAAAACTAGTTTTTGCTCAGGTATTGGCTCAGTGGAAAATGTGTGGTCTGAAGCTGTAGTCTCCTAGTTTGTGAGTCTCCTTATTTTCACTGCCTGAAGGTTTGAGTCACCGTAGAAGGGGAGGAGGGGCGGTGGAGATCAGAAGTGAGGTCTGTGAACTCCGGAGTTGACTTAGGTGCGGAGGGGATGAGGTAGAACTGCTGGCAGGGAGGCCCCATCTGATCCAAGAGTGAGCTTGGCAGGCAGAAAGCACTTGGCAAAGCCAAGGTAATGGTTGGGAGAGACTGATAGATCCAACACTCCTATTCCTTGAGGACATTCAGTGATGTGTATTAACCTAGGGTGGCTCTAACTTTAATGTGTCAGTGAAAGGGATCCGGCTACAACTCCACACTCCTGAGGTGGGGCCCAGTGTTCTGCATTTCTGTTAAAAATACTGTGAGGGAGCACCAGGCTGCTCCTTCCACAGGCCATACTTTGAGAAGCATGGCATTATCTCACCTGTGCATGTTATATTTGTTAAAGGGTAACTTTTCAAAAACAGGAAAAACTATCACTCATATAGATATAAATGTTAAATATTTTATTAATGAAGTGAGCAGTGAGATGTTACAAGCAGTTCAAAAGGGAACCCAAAGGGATGGACACATCTATTACTCAGAATATTGAAATAAACTGGAAATTGATGCATAAGTGGCTTTGCCACATGGAGAAGGATTGGCTTTCCAAGGCAGGTTGATTTGCATGTTTATAAACAAGAGTCATTTGCATTATCAGTTCTTTTCAACTTCACATACCATAAAACAGGTGAAAGGCTAGACTAGAAAACCTTAAAGGGGCTGGGTGCAGTGGCTCATGTCTGTTATCCCAGCACTTTGGGAGGTTGAGGTAGACAGATCACTTGACCCCAGGAGTTTGAGACAAGCCTGAGCAACATAGACCCTCTCTCTACAAAAAAAAGTTCCAAAAATTAGCTGGGCATGATGGCATGAGCCTGTAGTCCCAGCTACTCAGGAGGCTGAGGTGGGAGAATCCCTTGAGCCAGGGAAGTGGAGGTTGCTGTGAGCTAGGATCATACCCTTGCATTCCAGTCTGGGTGACGGAGGGAGTTCCTATCTCAAAAAACTGAAGGAGTGTGATCTAAACAATGTGTAGTGTTTCCACTGAAGCACAGATGTTTTCCCTGTGATTTGTAGTGATTGGCATTTTCAAACTGCAGATTGCTGTCTATATTAACTTGACAGTTTGTAATAACTGCTTGAGATTAGCAGTTTGTCTTTCTTCAGTTTAGTTAATTGTCATATTTAGCTCCTCTGTGTAATATGAGAAGGTAATGAGAATTTTTTTTTTCTTTTAGACGGAGTCTTGCTCTGTCACCAGGCTGGAGTGCAGTAGTGGTGCAATCTCAGGTCACTGCAACCTCTGCCTCCTGGCTTCAAGTGATTCTCCTGCCTCAGCTTCCCAAGTAGCTGGGACTAGAGGTGCATGCCACCATGCCCAGCTAATTTTTGCATTTTTGGTAGAGATGGGTTTTACCATGTTGGCCAGGATGATCTCGATCTCTTGACCTCGTGATCTGCCTGCCTTGGCCTCCCAAAGTGCTGGGATTACAGGCATGAACCACCACACCCAGACATGAGAGCTCTTAAATAGAATTTCCATCTATAAAAAGTAGGTACTGTCAGTATTCCCCTCACATAGGTTTATGAAGAAGTCATTTTAAAAAGAGAACCCTTGTAATCGATCAGGGACCCCATCTGCTTTCTCTGTGGGCCTAGGATAAATTCTTTTGATTGTTTATGTCTATTTGGTGTAAAAAGATCTGTAGTTAAAATATAACGTTGCATTATCCATAATAGCCAAAAGGTGGAAGCAAGCCAAGTGTCTATCTGCAAATGAATAAACAAAATATGGTATATACACACTATATGCAGTAGAATACTATTCAGGCTTACAGAAAAAGGCAATTCTGACACATGCTACACCATGGATGAACATGGAAGACATTATGCCACGTGAAATAAACCAGTCACCAAAGAACAAGTATTTTATGTGATCAGCTTCTTGATAATCTCCAAAATAGCCACCTTAGCTTATTGAATGTTTGAAGCTGAAGGAATCTCAGAAATGATAAGAAGGACACTCTGACCTTCCCACCCTCTTCTCTGATGCAGGCCACAAGGCCCTTGGGTGAGAGATGCCGTCCCTGTCCCTGGAGGAAGGAGCATCCTTCTCTCTGAAGATAACGCTGAGAGGAATCTGAATGATAGGTCCTGCTGTTCCTCCCAGTTTACTACACGTAGCTCCTACCCCTTTTTGTCCTCTTGCAATTTTCTGCTTCTCTCCACTTTTTATCAAACTGTTAAAAATGATGGGAGGCCATTCTTTTGGGGCTGAGCTCCTGCACTAGCCTTCAACAGATCAGACCAAACCAAAATTGAATTACTTATGCTAAATGCTGTGTCATCAAACTGAAACTTTAAGGAAGCAGATCCCCAAACAGACCAGTTTTTCTTGAAAACATGAGATTCCAGTCTACTTGAATCAGTGGAAGAAGGAAGTCCCCTCTGCTTTAACCATTACAAAAAAGTAACTGAAGTAGCTTGATGTTAACCAATCAGATTTTTCTATTCTGTTTCCTTGTTGCTACCTCATAAAACCTGTGGTTCTGCTATTGCCCAGTGGGAACTCTCATTCTGTTTTGTAGAGTGAAAGGTGCCCAGATTCATGAATCATGAATAAAAGACAATTAAATCTATAAATTTGTTGTAGTCCTCTGATAAACAATATAAAACCTAATTTGTTGTAATTTAGTCTTTTGACAAACCTAATATAAAAAGACATAGGTTTAACTGTTTCTTCATGTCTTTATTTCCTTACAAAGGCTCCTAGTTATATCAAGTTACTTCCAGAAAAGTCCATTTTTTCTGTGTCATATAAAACTTATGTTAAGTAAATGTGTATGCTTTTCTCTTGTTAATCTGTCTTTTGGTACAAGAGCCCCAGCCAAGAAATTAGAAGGGTGGAGGAAAAATATTTTTCCTCCCTTATATATGATTCCACTTATATGAGATACCTAGATCAGTAAAATTCATAGAAACAAAGTAGAATGATAGTCAGGCTCAGTGCCTCATTCCTGTAATCCCAACATCTTGGAAGGATAAGGCGGGAGGATCACTTCAGCCCAAGAGTTCAAGACCAGGCTAGACAACATAGTGAGACCTCATCTCTACTTTAAAAAGAAAAGTCAGGTGTGGTGGAACATACCTATAGTCCCAACTACTGGGGAGGCTGAAGTGGGTTGGATCACTCGAATCTGGGAGTTCAAGCTTTCAGTGAACTATGATCATGCCACTGTACTCCAACCTGGGCGACAGAGTAAGACCCTGTCAGAAAAAAGCAAAAAAAAAAAAAAAAGGTAGTTTGGTGGTTGCCAGAGGCTGGGGTAGAGAGGAATGAGGGCTTATTGCTTACTGGGTGCAGAGTTTCACTTCGGGATGATAAGAATGTTCTGGAGATGGATGGTGGTGATGGTTGTACAACAACATGAATGCACTTAATGCCGATAACTGCACACTTAAGACTGGTTAAAATCGGGCTGGGCACGGTGGCTCACACCTGTAATCCCAGCACTTTGGGAGGCTGAAGCAGGCAGATCACGAGGTCAAGAGATAGAGACCATCCTGGCCAACATGGTGAAACCCCGTCTCTACTAAGAATACAAAAATTCACTAAGTGTGGCGGCAGGTGCCTGTAATCCCAGCTACTTAGGAGGCTGAGGCAGGAGAATCCTTGAACCTGGGAGGCAGAGTTTGCAGTAAGCCGAGACCGCGCCACTACTGCACTCCAGTCTGGTGACAGAGCAAGCCTCCATCTCAAAATATATATATATACACATATATATACATATACATATATATACATTTATATGTATATATATGTATATTGTTATATATACTTTACTATGATAAAGACATTTTATAAGCACCATTTACCATTTGATCACCTATTAAATGCTAAGTGCTTTACATACATTTCACTAATCCTTAGAATAACTTTGTTCAGTAAAAATTATTCCTGGTTTACAGAGGAGAAACCTGAGGCTCAGAAAGGCTACTCACTTATTTGAAGTCTCACAGCCTTCATAATGGTATTCATGCACTGTTTATGCCCTAGATAGTTGGAGAAATTACAGGGGAGAATCTCAGAAATAACTGAAATAATTGAAGATGTAATCAAGAAACAAAAGTACAGTGTTTGAATAGAGACCAACTAAGGACGGCTGGGACTGGTTCAGTCTACCTATAATTGAAAGGTAAATCACTAGGAAAGGGAAGGAGTCTCTGGGTTTCAAGATGAAATAGAAGTCATGAGAATTCTATAAATTTAAATTCAAGTTCACTGAAGAGAGCTAGGAGTCAGCTACTGTTTGCTGCAGATAATATTCAGTAAGGAGCTAACTGCTAATGCACTGGCCTGGGGAAGTGTTTAATGTCAAATAGAAACCAACACTAGTAAAATACTTCCAGGAGGTAAGAATTTTTTTTTTTGAGACAGGGTCTTGCTCTGTCCCACAGGCTGGAGTGCAGTGGCATGATCTTGGCTCACTGCAACCTCCACTTCCCGAGTTCAAGCAATTCTCCTGCCTCAGCCTCCCTAGTAGCTGGGATTACAGGCACACACCACCACACCCTGCTGATTTTTGTATTTTTAGTAGAGTCGGGGTTTCACCATGTTGGCCAGGCTGGTCTTGAACTCTCGACCTCAGGTGATCCTCCCCCCTTGGCCTCTCAAAGTGCTGGGATTACAGGGGTGAGCCACTGCGCCTGGCTGCTGCTGCTTTTTTTGTAATGGACCTGGGAGATTTTTAGGAATGAGGGAAATGATCGTTTCTTTGAATAAGGCAGAATACTAAAGACTAGCCAGCCCTCAGGCTCATGGTGGTTGCTGCTATTCTGTTGAACGTCAACCATAGCCTTTAGAAAGGAGCAAGTCTTTGTGGAATAGACAGGATTTGAAGTGCAACAAAGGGGTGGAAACCCAGCTGACCATGATACCTTCAAGTGAGTTTTTCCACTGAATTTGATTATTTTCTCATTTGGCACTTCTTTCTGGGTTTTTTAATCAGCCCAAAAACTCTAGGTGATTTTACTTTTGTAATTGTATTCTCTTGGGAATTCCTGATTCCTCGTTTCACCAAATAGGTGTGTAACCTTCTTGTTTCTGCCTATAATAATTCTGGAGTCTTTAAACAAAACGACTGTGACTTTTCATGATGAGTAGAAGATAGGTTTTACTCATGCTACAATCAATATTAATTCCTTGCAGTTCAAAGACACTGAGGCCCTGTCTAATAATATAGAAGTTGAACTTGGACTTGGGAGATGACTCCTGCCTCTCATACTCTCTGTGGCTCTGCTTTCTATTATTTTACTCATAAGCTTGTTTTGTCTCCTTGCTGAGAATTGTCAAACATGAAATGTAATTTCAGGCTATAGTGAAGAAAGATGACATAGGCAGAAGAAATTGGCAATCATTTGGCCTGTACATGTGGCTTTTTGTTTTTTTTCTGGACTTAGGATATAGACCACACCTTGACATTTCTGGCCTTTGAGTCTTTCACAACTGTTATTATAATACATTAGCTCTTCTAGAAGTTAGAAGTGACTTTGGATTAAGTCTTTCATAAGGTGGCTAAATGAATTTATATAGCTCATCATAATTCACTAGATTGGTTAAGCGGGAAATTTACAGAGATTTTTTTCTTTGCTGTAAATGTTTTTCTAAATTGAAAAACTTCTAATACTGTCTTCTGTAGTAGACCTAGAAATAAGTGCAAGTGATTGTTTTTGGCAGGAGGTCACATAAACTTTTCTGCTTCTCTGTGCCTTACGGGTAGCATTGATATAAATTGTTAAAAATAATGATTGTAGATAGATAATGTGTCAGAGTTTGGGCTCAGCTGAGGTAGCTGCTGTTGACCCAGAGGGACCACTGGGAGCCTCACATCTCAGGGCAGCACATCGTTTGAAGCAATGGTTGGTTCTACACAACCTTTTATGAAATTAGGTGAGGCCCTTGCTTAGAATTTTTTAAAAGCTTAATATGAGTTTATATCTCTTTAAATATCAGTTTCTAATATTTTTTAAAGGCCTATGTTTACAACAAATTTGGGAGATACCTATATGCAGTACTAACTAGTGTTCTTTTGTGGTGCTTTAGAAATTCTGGCTTACTTGTATTTTTGCTAGCCTTCTAATGATTTCACTCATCAATCAGAAGATACTTGTGTCCACCTCCCTGCTTCCTCTCCGGTGATCTTGTCGATTCTTGGCCATTTTAGAGTTGACTTAGCAGCCTTCACAAAACTGATTGGAATTTCCACTGGGATTAAATTGATAGGTCATTTTTGGGAGACCTTTGCAATATTGAACTTTCCAATCCGTGAACTTTACTTATCTGCCCATTTATTATGTTTGTTTTTGGTAGATTACAAAATTATATGATCACTCCAAAAATTACCTTGCCCTTTATAGTAAAGCCTTCCATTGTAAATTCTGGCAATCACTGATCTGTGTTCCTCTAGCATTGCTTTTTTTCAGAATTTTATACAAATGGAATCGTTCAGTATGTAGCCTTTTGAGTCTGGCTACTTTCATGTACTGTATCAACAGTTATTCCTTATTATTGCCAAATAGTAATCCATTGTATAAATACTACATGGTTTGCTTATTGGTTTGTCATTGGAGGAATATGGACTATTTTCACTTTTTGGTAAACTATAAGTGGATTGGAATTCACAAAGTGCTTTTTGTCTGAGCATAGGTTTTCATTTCACTTGTGCAAATGCCTAAGGGTAGGATTGCCGAGTCACATGTACGTTTGACTTTATCAGAACCTGCCAAATTGTCTTCCAAAGTGCTGTGCCACTTCTGTTTCTTTAATAAATACAGGGGTATTCAAGCTGTCTGTTTCTTCTTGAGTTTTGTTAGTCTGTCTTTCAAGGAATTGATCTATTTCACCTAATTTGTAGAATTTAGAAGCACATACTTGTTTGTTTTGTTTTTGTAGTATCCATTATAGCCTTCTAGTGTCTACAGGATTTGTAATAATATTCCTTTCATTTCTGGTATTGGCAATTTGTGTTTTCTCTTCTTCCTTTGTCAGTCTGCTAGAGGCTTCCTCATTTTATTGATTTCCACCTCCCACCACCCCTGCAAAGAACCAACTTTGGATTTCGTTGAATTTTTTTCCTTTACTGTTTTTGTTTAAATATTACTGATTTAGTCTGTTTTCCTTATGCCTGATTTGAGTTTATTTGGTTCTTTTTTTACTTGAAGTAAATAAATTGCCCTGTAAGCACACATTTTGATAAGATGATGTCATATTTATTAAGTTCAAACTGTTTTCCAATTTGTCTTAAGATACTCTCTTTGACCTATGGGCCATTTAGAAGTAAGCCATTTAACTTCTCATATTAGGGGATGTTCTAGAAATGTTCTAGATTCCTAGTTTAATTCTGTCATCAGAGAAAATAATTCACTGAATTTTAATTGTTTAACTTTAGGGTTTGTTTTATGACCCAGAATATGATCTCTCACCACCGCCATCCAGATAATTCTTCAGGTTTTGACGTTTCCCAACCTGTCTGCTGGTTACTTTTCAGAGTACTTGGGTCATTGCTATTTATATTTTGTCCAGAGTTTCAAATTGTGATCAGTGGAAATGACATGCCGTAGCATGCGTACGCCATCCTGGCCAGCATCACAGGTGGTCAGTATATCTTTCTGTTGTTGTTTTGAGACAGGGTCTCACTCTGTTGCCCAGGCTGGAGCACAGTGACATGATCAGGGATCACTGCATTCTCAACCTGCTAGGCTCAAGTGATCCTCCCACCTCAGCCTCCCGAATAGCTGGTCTATAGGTGTGCTGCCATGCCCAGCTAATTTTTGTATTTTTTATAAAGATGGGATTTTGCCTAGTTGCCCAGGCTGGTCTCAAACTCCTGAGCTCAGGCTATCCTCTCACCCGGACCTCCCAAAATACTAGGATTATAGGCATGACCACCACACCTGGCCAGTACATCTTAAAAATAATTTCTGATCCACGTTGAATAATGATGGCCTGTAAATATTTTTTCTTGCACTTGCCTTGTTGGGTTTTGATATCAAGGTTATTTTTATTTTAACCTTGTAAAATGAACTGGGGAGTCTTCTTTTTTTATTCTCTGTTTGTGTTAGTGGCAGAGTTTTTTTTTGTTTGGTTGGTTGGTTTCTCTTGTATGTTTCATGGAACTTTTTGGTGAAGGCACTTGGGCCTGGGAATTTCTTTATGGGAAGTTTTTTCATTACTGATTCAATATATTTAATCTATGTAAGTTTTTTTTCTATTTTTTGAGTGAATTTCGATTTTTTTTCCTAGAAATTCATATCTCACCAAGTATGGTGGCTTATGCTTGTAATCCCAGCACTTTGGGAGGCTCAGGTGGGAGGACCACTTGACTACAGTAGTTCAAGACCAGCCTGGGCAATATAGTGAGACTCCATCTCTACAAAAAAAAATTAGCTTGGTGTGTTGGTGGGTGCCTGTAGTGTGAGCTACTTGGGATGCTGAGGTGGGAGGATCATTTGAGCCTGGAAGGTCGAGACTGCAGTGAACTGTGATTGTGCCACTGCACTCCAGCCTGGGTGACAGAATGAGACCTTGTCTCAAAAAAAAAGACTTTTCATCTATGGTTTAAAGTCTGTTGGCATAAATGTATTCATAATTTTACATTATGAATTTGTTTATTTGAGACAGGGTCTCACTCTGTTGCCCAGGCTGGAGTACAGTGGTGCAATCGTGGCTCACTGCAGCCTCCACCTCCCAGGCTCAAGCCACCATCTTGCTTCAGCCTCCCTAGTAGCTGGGACCACAGGCACTTGCCACCATGCCCAGCTAATTTTTGTATTTTTGGTAGAGAAGGGCTTTTGCCATGTTGCCCAGGCTGGTCTCAAACTCCTGAACTTGAGCATTCCTCCCACTTAAGTCTCCCAAAGTGCTGGGATTACAGGTGTGAGCCATCGTTCTTGGCCTGCAAGTTATGACTTCCTTTCAGAGTCTTTCTATCTGTAGTACAGTCCTCCTGTGCAAGATTGTTTTTTGATTGCTTTTTCTTGACAAATCTTGCTAAAGGTCTGTGAATTTTATAATGTATTTTTAAAGAACCAGATTTTAGCAGGGCATGGTGGCTCATACCTGTAATCCCAGCACTTAGTGAGGCAAAGGTGGGAGGATCACTTGAGCCTGTAAGGGGGAGACTGTTCTAAGCTGTGACTGAGCCACTACACTCCAGCCTGGGCAACAGAATGAGACCCTATCTATCTGAAAACCAAAAAAACCACAAGTTTTAGCTTGGCTGATTCTATTGTGTGTTTCTTTTGTATTTCATTTGTTTGTTACGTTTTTCCTTTTTCTATCTTTGAATTTAACTTGTTCTTTGTCTGATTTATTGACTGATGCTTAGGGTTTTTTTTTTTTTTTTTTTTTGAGACGTAGTCTCACTCTTTCACCAGGCTGGAGTGCAGTGGCACAATCTCAGCTCACTGCAACCTCCAGCTCCTGGGTTCAAGCAATTCTCCTGCCTCAGCCTCCCGAGTAGCTGGGACTACAGGTGTGCGCCACCACACCCAGCTAATTTTTGTATTTTTTGTAGAGATGGGGTTTTACCATGTTGGGCAGGATTGTCTCGATCTCTTGACCTCATGATCCACCTGCCTTGGCCTCCCAAAGTGCTGGGATTACAGGCGTGAGCCACTGTGCCTAGTCTGTTGATGTTTTTTCCAAGTTCCTTTTCTAATGTTCTCATTTAAGACTATAAATTTCCCCAGCCTGGACAGCATGGTGAAACTTTATCTCTACCAAACACACACAAAATTAGCCAGGCGTGGTTGTGTGAGCCTGTGGTCCCAGCTACTCGGGAGGCTGAAGTGGGAGGCTCACTTGAGCCCAGGAGGTGGAGGGTAGTAAGCCAAGATTGTGCTACTGCACTCCAGCCGGGGTGACATAGTGAGACCCCATCTCAAAAAAAAATAATAGACTATAATTTTCCCCTTATGAATGGATTTAATTATATCCTACAGTTTTTAATATGTAGAATTGATGATGAATTTGCCTTATTTTATCTTCAAGCTATGGGCTATTTAAAAGTATACTTTTAGAAAGTTTCTAAAATTGTTACCAGAAATTGTGATCTGTCCACTTTCTTTGAAATTTGTTACTTGTTTAAACACTCGTATATGTGGTTAATTTTTGAACTTGTCCAAATTTTCTTGAAGGGAAGTCTATTTCTGCAGTTAAATCTCATGTTCTGTATGTGTGCATTGAGTCTATTTTTTCATAATTTTAAATCTTCATCCTCCTTAATTATTTTTATACTTTATTTACTGAGAGATATATTAAATATCCTACTAGAAGCATGGATTTGTCTGTCTCCTCATCTGTCAACTTTTGCTTTTTGAGGCTGTACTTGGGTGCATATGATTCAAAAATTATACATCTTTTTTTTAATTTGAACTTTTATCAAAATGAAATGTTTTCCTTCATTTATGTATGCTTTCAACATTATGTATGATATAGCTATAGTAACTTTGGTTAGACTTTGCACTGTGTATCTTTCACGTGTGTGTGTGTGTGTGTGTGTATTTTTTTTTCCACTGTGCTGCCCAGGCTATAGTGCAGGGGCTGTTCACAGACGTGTCTGTGGCTCCCTGCTGCCTTAAACTCCTGGGCTCAAATGATCCTCCTACCTCAGTCTTTAGAGTGATGTGTGCCACCACTGCCAAATAATTGTTTTTATTTATTTAGAGATAGAGTTTGGCTATATTGCCCAGACTGGTCTTGAGCTCTTGGTCTCAAGTGATCCTCTCGCTTCTGCTTCCTGAGTAACTGGGATTATAGGCATGTGCCGCCAAGTCCGGCTCCTCTGATACGTATTTTAATACCTTTTAAAATCATTCTATATCTTTATATTTTAAATATGACTTATAAATAGCATGGAATGGGATTTTCACAATTTATCCATCTTTAACTGGATTAGTTAGTCCATTTGCATGTATTTGTATTCTGACATACTTGGATTCTGTATAGATTGTGAGTGGTGTGTATGTACATGCATATGTGTTTGTGTCATTTTGTCACTTTCTATTTATCCTACTTATGTTTATTTTTTCCTTTCTTGCCTTCTTTTCAATTGGTGTGATATTTTTTCTCTAGTCATTTTAAGTTAGTCTTTGTTTATATTCTTTTAGTAACTGTCATGCTAATTTAAATGTGCATATTTAAGTTATGAAAGTTGAAAATTTATCCTCTTCCTGGGTGATAGGATAACTTAAGAATACTTTCATTGCATTAAACTCCTCTTGAGTTATGCTACAACAGTATATTTTCAACTTTTTGTTTTGACATTATTGCAGATTCACAGGTGCTTTTAAGAAATAATATAAAGAAATCCCATATAGTCTTCACTCAGTTTCTCCCAATGGTAACGTCTTGCATAACTACCTTGTTCAGATTTTACCAGTTTTATGTGCACTTTTAGGTTTTTTTGTGTATTTAGTTCTATGAAATTTTATCGTGTACATAGATTAGATACCTAATCACCATCACCATCGTCAAGATATAGAAGAGTTCCATCAGAAGGATGGATCCCTTTTGCTACCCATTTTATAGTCACAAACACGTTCCTCACTCCCTGACCCCTGGCAACCACTAATGTGTTTTTCATCTCTGTAACTTTATTTCAAGAACACATGTAAATGAAACCATACACTGTCTAATATTTTGAGATTGAATTTTTTTATTCAGCATAATTTTCTTGTGATCCATCAAATTTGTTTTGATATATTTTATCATTTTTCTTTTTATATTTCATGGGACATTACTTCTATTGTTTTATACATTTCACATTTGTTTAGTTTTATCCATATATTCACCTGTCTTTTTCCTGCTCTTCATTTCTTCTTATATCCCAGATCTTCCACTTGGGATCATTTTCCTCCTGTCTGAAATCTTTTAGTATCTGTTTAGTAATGGTTTCCTTGGGCGAGCTCCCTCAATTTCTGCACATTTTAAGCTCTATTATGTTAGTCTCATACTTAATTTTTTTATTGTGGTATAAGAGGCATACAGGTAAGGAGATCATGAATGTACAACTCAAAATTTTCACATAGTTAACACCTAAGAAATGGATATGACCAGCAACCCAGAAGTCTCTCTTCTGTTTCCTTTTAGTTGCTGCTCTTACCTCCTCCCAAGACAGGGTGATCTGCCCGCCTTGGCTTCCCAAAGTGCTGGGATTACAGGTATGAGCCACCACGCCTGGCCTAAAATGACCATCTTGTCTTTTGAGACAGAGTCTTGCTCTGTCACCCCAGCTGGAGTGCAGTGGCATGATCATGGCTCACTGCAGCCTCAATCTCCCTGGCTCAAGCGATCCTCCCACCTTAGCCTCCTGAGTAGCTGGGACAGGAGGCACACATGCCACACCCAGCTCAATCTACTGGGCTCAAGCAAAAGTTATCTCCTATTCTGACTTTTTACACTATAGATTAGTTTTCCTATTATTTGCTTTATAAATAGGATCTTTTCTTTTGGCTTCTTTTCTCAGCTTTAGGCTTGTGAGCTCTATGCATGGTGTTGCACATGGCTGTGGTTTGTTTATTGTTGTGCGCATTCAGCTTTACTAATATTGCACAATATGTTTATCTGTTCTGCTGGTGGCTGACATTAGGTTCTTCCAAGCTTGAGTCCATTATGAGTAATGCCATTATAAACTTTCTTTCTTTCTTTCTTTCTTTTTTTTTTTGGAGATAGAGTCTTGCTCTTGTCGCCCAGGCTGGAGTGCAATGGCACAATCTCAGCTCACTGCAACCTCCACCTCCTGGGTTCAAGCCATTCTCCCTGCCTGAGCCTCCCAAGAAGCTGGGATTACAGTGCCCACCACCACGTCTGGCTAATTATTTTTTTAGTAGAGACAGGGTTTTGCCATATTGGCCGGGCTGGTCTCGAACTCCTGACCTCAGGTGATCTGCCTGCCTCGGCCTCCCAAAGTGCTGGAATTACAGGCATGAGCCACTGTGCCCGGCCCTGAAATTTCTTGTACTTTTGGTGCACACTTGTGTACTTTAATTTGATCTGTATCTGGGAGTGCAAGTGCTTTATAGAGTGTACGTACAGTTTTAGGAGATACTGCTAAAAATTTTGCAGTGGCTGTATCAGTTTACACTCTGCCAGCTGTTGATGAAGGTTCCAGTTGTTTCCCATCCTTCTGTTATAGGAAAGGAATCCTGATCTAGACTCCAAGAGAGGGTTATTGGATCTGGTGCAAGAAAGAATTCAGGGCGAGTCCATAGAGTAAAGTGATAGCAAGTTTATTAAGAAAGTAGAAGAATAAAAGAATGGCTACTCTATAGACAGAGCAGCCCAAGGGCTGCTGGTTACCCATTCTTATGGTTATTTCTAGATAATATGCTAAACAAGGGGTGGATTATTCGTGCCTCCTTTTTTTTTTTTCTTAAGACCATGTAGGGTAAATTTCTGATATTGCCATGGCATTTGTAAACTGTGGTGGCGCTAGTGGGAGTGTAGCAGGGGGAGGATGACGAGAGGTCTACAGGTTTTTTTGGTAATCATCTTGAGAAATAAAGACTTCATAAATCATCTTACAGTTATGACAATATATAACAACCATATTTCAACTGAACGCAAAGTTGTACCTTTTCATACCCCCACTGTGTTATTAATATCACATATTATCTTTTCTTATTGTGTATCTATGAACACACATTTATGCAGATTTGTGCTTCATTTTTTAAACTCCATAGCAATATTTTGAAAATTTTGTGCACCATCATTATGACAGTAGATAGAGATTTCTATACCTGTTTATATATTTACCTTTAATATAGCACTTTCTATTTTCATATGCTGTTATGATGCTGTGCAGCATCATTTCATTTTTGGACTTGATAGACTTTGTTTTACATTTCCTTTAGGATTGATCTAGTGGTTAGTAACACACTCAACTTTTATTTATTTTGGAAAGGCTTATTTTTTTATTTCTGAAGTGAAATTATTCCAGTTGAAGGTTTTTCTTTGGCAGTATATCTTCTTGTTTAATTACCTTGTCATCTGGGGATTTCTCAGCTACTTTTTAAAAATAATCTCTTTATTACTTTTCTGCTGTATTGTTTTTCTAAGACTCCTTTTATAAATACAAAGGTCTACTTGATGGTGTGCAGTACGTCCCATATTTTTTTCTCTATTCTGTTTAAATAATTTGTTTTCATGACTCAGTATTTATAACTACAGTGACATCAGTTGTATGATTTTTTCTGCTTTATTAGTCTGCTTTTGTGACTGTTGATTGAAATTTTAATACAGTTATCGTGTTATTCAGATACACAGTTTTTGTTGGTTTCTAAAAATCATTTTGTTGATATCTCGTTTTCTTTATGTATCACTTCTAATATTATTTTGTTGTCTATGCTCTGTTTTTGTTAATTAAGCAGTTTTTTCCTAGTTACATTTTATTGAAAACTGCACTGAATGCTAAATGTCCATCTTTACAATAAACAACTACAGTAACGGTAACTCGCACTAAAACAAAGTATACTTCTGATAGCCATTATTTTTCTGTTTGTGACAATTTTAAAGTTTTTCTTTTGTCACAAAAACAGGAATGTACCTAATCAAAAGATCAAAATAGGCCATCTTTTTAAACAAAAAGGCAATGATTCACAAAAGACTATGAACAGAACATGTAACCAATCGATGCAAATCAAATAGGATTTGTTAAAATCAGTCACATCCAATACATCTGAAGTGTTCTTGTATAAAATACAACGTGAATAAAAGAAGACTTCATCAGTGTCTTAAAAAGTGCATTTGTTCATAGACAATCTGACAAGTTACCATTAAAAGTGTTTCCTGTGACATAAGGAAAAGCAACATTATTTTTCTTGAATCTTTTTAGTGCAAGACTTTCCACTCAATAAAATAGCAGAGCATCTGAAACTGAGAAAATATTTTTGATTACAAACAGCTTGTGAAACTTAATACTGTTTTTTTTTTTTTTGCATTATCGGAGGCTTTTACTGAACTTACAACCAACTTGCCCACTCAGCATGCAGTTCAGATGTGAGAGACGCTTCTCTGTACAGGAGCCGGTACTGTCTTCAATCCTACGCGTGCAGGTGTCTACCACAGGCAAACAGTTTACTCCACATTTTCTAGTAATGTGATCTTCCTTTTAGCAAAAAGCTGTAACCAGTCCCTGTAGACTGAAGGGACTCAAGTGACAAGATGTGGATTTCCTCCTCATGGCTTTTATTTTGATGTTTGAAGTCTTGATGCAACATTCTGAGCAGGATGTTCCTGACCTGCTGTGCCCCAGGGACTGATAAAGGAAAAAGGACTATTTATTCTTTGTGATTTGACGCACATATCAAAAACTTAACACACAATAACGGAAGCTGGTCGTTAATAAATCACACCCTAGTCTTTCAGAGCTTCCATAAACAGACGACATCTTCAGTTTTCTAACTCTTGTAGTTTTTACACTGCAACATCAATGATGCATATGTCCAGAATCAGCTAAAAAGAGCGTCAGATTCTTTTTCTCTTAGTACATCTATTTTTCACTGTCCTTGTTCCCAAGTGTATCAAAATGATTACCTTCCGGCATTCTCTACTATTTCTCGTTGGGGTGCTCTCAATTGTCCCCGTGATTGTGGGCTGGTTGGGAGAGGGCGCTTGGGAAGTATGTGCCACTGTCGGGAGGTTGTGAGTCACTGGGATGCCTCCAGGGATGATCCCTTCCATGGACGCAGGAAGTCCTCCTGGATCCACACCCACAATGACTGAATGAATTGCTTGCTGGTCTATTACTGACCAAAGCACAGATGTGACAAAGAATTCCTTGTTCACACAGTTTCTTTTTTTTTAATTTTATTATTATTATACTTTAAGTTTTAGGGTACATGTGTACAACGTGCAGGTTTGTTACATATGTATACATGTGCCATGTTGGTGTGCTGCTCCCATTAACTCGTCATTTAGCATTAGGCACATCTCCTAATGCTATCCCTTCCCTCTACCCCCACCCCACAACAGTCCCCAGTGTGTGATGTTCCCCTTCCTGTGTCCATGTGTTCTCATTGTTCAATTCCCACCTATGAGTGAGAACATGTGGTGTTTGGTTTTTTGTCCTTGCGATAGTTTGCTGAGAATGATGGTTTCCATCTTCATCCATGTCCCTACAAAGGACACGAACTCATCCTTTTTTATCGCCATATAGTATACCATGGTGTATTTGTGCCAGATTTTCTTAATCCAGTCTATCATTGTTGGACGTATAGGTTGGTTCCAAGTCTTTGCTATTGTGAATAGTGCGCAATAAACATAGGTGTGTATGTGTCTTTATAGCAGTATGATTTATAATCCCTTGGGTACATATCTAGTAATGGGATGGCTGGGACAAATGTTATTTCTAGTTCTAGATCCCTAAGGAATCGCCACACTGACTTCCACAATGGTTGAAGTAGTTTACAGTCCCAACAACAGTGTAAAAGTGTTCCTATTTCTCCACATCCTCCCCAGCACCTGTTGTTTCCTGACTTTTTAATGAACGCCATTGTAAATGGTGTGAGATGGTATCTCATTGTGGTTTTGATTTGCAATTCTCTGATGGCCAGTGATGATGAGCATTTTTTCATGTGTGTTTTGGCTGCATAAATGTCTTCTTTTGAGAAGTGTCTGTTCATATCCTTGGCCCACTTTTTGATGGGGTTGTTTGTTTGTTTTTTTCTTGTAAATTTGTTTGAGTTCATTGTAGATTCTGGATATTTGCCCCTTGTCAGATGAGTAGGTTGCAAAAATTTTCTCCCATTCTGTAGGTTGCCTGTTCACTCTGATGGGAGTTTCTTTTGCCGTGCAGAAGCTTTTTAGTTTAATTAGATCCCATTTGTCAATTTTGGCTTTTGTTGCCATTGCTTTTGGTGTCTTAGACATGAGGTCCTTGCCCAAGCCTATGTCCTGAATGGTATTGCCTAGGTTTTTTTCTTTTTTTTTATGGTTTTAGGTCTAACATGTAAGTCTTTAATCCATCTTGAATTAATTTTTGTATGAGGTGTAAAGAAGGGATCCAGTTTCAGCTTTCTACATATGGCTAGCCGGTTTTCCCAGCACCATTTATTAAATAGGGAATCCTTTCCCCATTGCTTGCTTTTGTCAGGTTTGTCAAAGATCAGATAGTTGTAGATATGTGGCATTATTTCTGAGGGCTGTGTTTTGTTCCATTGGTCTATATCTCTGTTTTGGTACCAGCACCATGCTGTTTTGCTTACTGTAGCCTTGCAGTATAGTTTGAAGTCAGGTAGCGTGATGCCTCCAGCTTTGTTCTTTTGGCTTAGGATTGACTTGGAGATTAAGGCTATTTATTGGTTGCATATGAACTTGAAAGTAGTTTTTTCCAATTCTGCGAAGAAAGTCATTGGTAGCTTGATGGGGATGGCATTTAATCTATAAATTACCTTGGGCAGTATGGCCATTTTCACGATATTGATTCTTCCTACCCATGAGCATGGAATGTTCTTCCATTTGTTTGTATCCTCTTTTATTTCATTGAGCAGTGGTTTGTAGTTCTCCTTGAAGAGGTCCTTCACATCCCTTGTAAGTTGGATTTCTAGGTATTTTACTCTCTTTGAAGCAATTGTGAATGAGAGTTCACTCATGATTTGGCTCTCTGTTTGTCTGTTATTGGTGTATAAGAATGCTTGTGATTTTTGCACATTGATTTTCTATCCTGAGACTTTGCTGAAGTTGCTTATCAGCTTGAGGAGATTTTGGGCTGAGACAATGGGGTTTTCTACATATACAATCATGTCATCTGCAAACAGGGACAATTTGACTTCCTCTTTTCCTAATCGAATATGCTTTATTTCCTTCTCCTGCCTAATTGCCCTGGCCAGAACTTCCAACACTATGTTGAATAGGAGTGGTGAGAGAAGGCATCCCTGTCTTGTGCCCATTTTCAAAGGGAATGCTTCCAGTTTTTTCCCATTCAGTATGATATTGGCTGTGGGTTTGTCATAGATAGCTCGTATTATTTTGAGATACATCCCATCCATACCTAATTTATTGAGAGTTTTTAGCATGAAGTGTTGTTGAATTTCGTCAGAGGCCTTTTCTGCATCTATTGAGATAATCATTTGGTTTTTGTCTTTGGTTCTGTTTATATGCTGGATTACATTTATTGATTTGTGTATGTTGAACCAGCCTTGCATCCCAGGGATGAAGCTCACTTGATCATGGTGAATAAGCTTTTTGATGTTCTGCTGGATTGGGTTTACCAGTATTTTATTGAGGATTTTTGCATCAATGTTCATCAAGGATATTGGTCTAAAATTCTCTTTTTTGGTTGTGTCTCTGCCCGGCTTTGGTATCAGGATGATGCTGGCCTCATAAGATGAGTTAGGGAGGATTTCCTCTTTTTTCTGTTGTTTGGAATAGTTTCAGAAAGGATGGTACCACCCTCTCTATGTACCTCTGGTAGAATTCGGCTATGATTCCATCTGGTCCTGGACTCTTTTTTGTTGGTAAGCTATTGATTATTTCCACAATTTCAGCTCCTGTTATTGGTCTATTCAGAGATTCATCTTCTTCCTGGTTTAGTCTTGGGAGGATGTATGTGTCGAGGAATTTATCCATTTCTTCTAGATTTTCTAGTTTATTTGCGTAGAGGTGTTTATAGTATTCTCTGATGGTAGATTGTATTTCTGTGGGATCAGTGGTGATATCCCTTTTGTAATTTTTTATTGCATCTATTTGATTCTTCTCTCTTTTCTTTTTTATTAGTCTTGGTAGCGGTCTATCAATTTTGTTGATCTTTTCAAAAAAAGCAATCTCTGGATTCCTTAATTTTTTGAGGGGTTTTTTATGTCTCTATTTCCTTCAGTTCTGCTCTGATCTTAGTTATTCCTTGCCTTCTGCTAGCTTTTCAATGTGTTTGCTCTTGCTTTTCTAGCTCTTTTAATTGTGATGTTAGGGTGTCAATTTTAGATCTTTCCTGCTTTCTCTTGTGGGCATTTAGTGGTATAAATTTCCCTCTACACACTGCTTTGAATGTGTCCCAGAGATACTGCTATGTTTTGTCTTTGTTCTCATTGGTTTCTAAGAACATCTTTATCTCTGCCTTGATTTCATTATTTCCCCAGTATTCTTTCGGGAGCAGGTTGGTAAGCAGAGCCTAGACAAGAGTTACATCACCTGGGTGATCAGTGCAGAGGTATGTGACAAGGCCCCTTTAAGCAGAGCCTAGACAATAGTTACATCACCTGAGTGATCAGTGCAGAGATATGTCAGTATTCCCCCTATAGGCAGAGCCTAGACAAAAGTTACATCACCTGGGTGATCAGTGCAGTGATAGGTCAAAATTCCTCTGTAGGCAGAGCCTAGACAAGAGTTACATCATCTAGGTGATCAGTGCAGTGATATGTCACAAAAATCCCTGTAGACAGAGCCTAGACAAGAATTACATCACCTGAGTGATCAGTGCAGATATTTGACACAATGACCCCATAGACAGAGCCTAGACAAGAATTCCATCACCTAGGTTATCAGTGCAGAGATATGTCATGAATCCACCTCTAGGCAGAGTATAGAAAATAGTTCCATCACCTGAGTGATCAGTGCAGAGATATGTCACAAAGACCCCTGTAGGCAGAGCGTAGACAAGAGTCCCATCACCTGTGTGATCAGTGTAGTGACATGTCACAAAGCCATTGTAGGTAGAGCGTAGAAAAGAGTTGCATTACCTGGGTGATCAGTGCAGAGAAATATAACAATGCCCCCTCTGGGAAAAGCCTAGAAAAGAGTTACATCGCCTAGTAGATCAGTGCAGAGGTATGCCACAAAGCCCCCTGAAAGTACAGACTAGAGAAGAGTTACATCTCCTGGGTGATCAGTGCAGTGATATGTCACAATTTCCCTGTAGACAGAGGCTAGAAAAGGGTTAAATCACCTGTGTGATCATTGCAGAGATATGTTACAATACCCTCTGTTGGCAAAGCCTAGAAAAGATTTACATCACCTCTGTGATCACTTCAGAGGCATATCAAAACGAACCTGTAGGCAGACCCTACAAAAGAGTTACATCACCTAGGAGATCAGTGCAGAGATATGTCACAATACCCCATGTAGGCAGAGCCCAGACAAGAGTTACATCACCTGGGTGATCAGGACAGAGATATGTCACAATGCCCCCTGCAGGCAGAGCCCAGACAAGAGTTGCATCACCTCGGTGATCAGTGCAGAGGTATGTCTCAATGCCTCCTGTAGGCAAAGCCCAGAGAAGAGTTACATCATCTCGGTGATCAGTGCAGAGATATGTCAAAATGCTCCTGTGAGCAGAGCCTAGACAAAATTTACATCACCTGGGTGATCAGTGCTGAGACATGTCACAATGTCCATGTAGGCAGAGCCTAGACAAGTGTTACATCACCTGGGTGATCATTGCAGAGTGATGTCACTACGACCTCTGTAGGTAGAGACTAGACAAGAGTTACCTCACCTGAGAGATCAGTGCAGAGATATGTCACAACGCCCTCTGTAGGCAAAGATTAGTCATGAGTTACATCACATAGGTGATCAGCACAGATATATGTCAATATGTCCCTGTGGCCACAGCCTAGACAAGAGTTACATCATCTGGGTGATCAATGCAGAGATATGTCACCATGTCTCCAGTAGGCAGAGCCTAGATATGAGTTACATCACCTCGGTGATCAGTGCAGAGATATCTCAAAATACCCCCTGTAGGCAAAGTCTAGACAAGAGTTACATCAACTGGGTGATCAGTGCAGAGATACGTCAAAAATCCTACCGTAGGCAAAGCCTAGACAAGTTTTAAATAACCTCAGTGATCAGTGCAGAGACGTCTCCCAATGCCCCTGTAGGCAGAGCTTAGAAAAGTGTCACATCTCCGGATTGATAAGTGCAGAGATACGTCACAATGCCCCCATAGGCAGAGCCTGGACAACAGTTACATCACCTAGTTGATCAGTGCAGAGATATGTCACAAAGTCCCCTGTAGGCAGAGCCTAGAGAAGAGTTGCATCACCTGGGTGATCAGTGCAGAGATATGTCAGGATATCCCCTGTAGTCAAAGCCTAGGCAAGAGTTACATCACCTTTGTCATCAGTTCAGAGATATGTCAAAATGCCCCTGTAGGCAGAGCCTAGACAAGAGTTACATCACCTAGTTGATCAGTGCAGAGATGTTTCACAATACCCCCTTTAGGCAGATCCTAGAGAAGAGTTGCATCACCTGGGTGATCAGTGCAGAGCTATATCAAAATGCCCCCTGTAGGCAGAGGGTAGACAAGAGGTACATCATCTAGGTGATCAGTGCAGAGATTTGTGAAAATTCCCTGTAGGCAGAGCTTATAAAACTATTACATCGCCTAGGTGATCAGTGCAGAGATGTGTCACAAAGCCCCCTGTAGGCAGAGCCTAGACAAGAATTCCCACGCCGGGAGTGATCAGGTCAGAGATAAGTCACAAGGCCCCTGTAGGCAGAGCTTAGATGACTTACATCACCTGGGTAATCAGTGCACAGATATGTCACAAAGCCCACTGCAGGAAAAGCCAATACAATAGTTAAATCACTTGGGTGATCAGTGGAGAGATTTCTCACAACTCACAAGTAGGCAGAGCTTATACAACAGTTACATCTCCTCGGTGATCAGTGCAGAGATATGTCATAATGCCCCCATAGGCAGATGCAAGACAAGAGTCTGTCACCTGGGTGATCAGAGCAGAAATACGTCACAATGCCCCCGTAGACAGAGCCTAGACAAAAGCCCCATCACCTGGATGATGAGGGCAGAGTTATGTCACAAAGACCCTTTAGGCAGATCCTAGACAATAGTTACATCAGTTGGGTGATCAGTGCAGAGATATGTCACAATGCCACTGTAGGCAGAGCCTAGGCAAGAGTTACATGACCCAGGTGATCAGTGCAGAGATACATCACAATCCCCCTGTAGGCAGAGCCTTGACAAGTGGTACATCACCTGGGTGATAATTGCAGGCATATGTCACAAAGCACCCTGTAGGCAGATCCTAGACAACAGTTACATAACCTGGGTGATCAGTGCAGGGATATGACACAATGCCAGTGTAGGCAGAGTCTAGAAAAGAGTTACATGACCTAGGTGATCAGTGCAGAGATACATCACAATGCCTCTGTAGGCAGAGCCTTGACAGGTGGTACATCACCTGGGTGATCATTGCAGGGATATGTCACAAAGCACCCTGTAGGCAGATCCTAGACAAGAGTTACATCACCTGGGTGAGCAGTGCAGAGATATGTCACAAGCCCCCTGCAGGCAGAGCCTAGACAAGAGTTATATCACCTGGGTGATAAGTGCAGTGATATGTCACAATGCCGTGTAGCCAGAGCCTAGACAAAAGTTTCATCACCTGGGAGATCAGTGCAGAGATATGTCACAATGTCCCCAGTAGGCAGAGCCTAGAAAAGATTTGGATCACCTCGGGATCAGTGCAGAGATATGTCAAAATGCACCTGTGGGCAGAGCCCAGACAAAATTTACATCACCTTGGTGATCAGTGCAGAGACATGTCACAATGTCCATGTAGGCAGAGCCTAGACAAGGGTTACATCACCTGGGTGATCATTGCAGAGTGATGTCACAACGCCCTCTGTAGGCAGAGACTAGACAAGAGTTACCTCACCTGAGAGATCAGTGCAGAGATATGTCACTATGTCCCTGTGGCCAGAGCCTAGACAAGAGTTACATCAGCTGGGTGATCAGTGCAGAGATAAGTCACAATGTCTATCACAATGTCTCCATTAGGCACAGCCTAGACAAGAGTAACATCACCTGCGTGATCACGTCAGAGATATGTCACAATGCCCTCTGTGGGCAGATCCCAGACAAGAGTTGCATCACCTCAGTGATCAGTGCAGTGATGTGTTAAAATGCCCCTGTAGGCAGAGCCTAGACAAGAGTTACATCACCTGGGTGATCAGTGCAGAGATATGTCACAATGTCCCCTGTAGGCAGAGCCTAGGCAAGAGTTACATCATCTTTGCCATCAGTTCAGAGATATTTTAAAATGCCCCTTTAGGCAGATCCTAGACAAGACTTGCATCACCTGGGTGATCAGTGCAGAGATTTTTCACATTGCCCCCTGTAGGCAGAGGGTAGAAAAAAGTTACATCACCTAGGTGATCAGTGCTGAGATATTTCAGAATACCCACTGTAGACAGATCTTAGAGAAGACTTGCATCACCTGGGTGATCAGTGCAGAGATTTTTCACATTGCCTCCTGTAGGCAGAGGGTAGAGACGTGTTAAATCACCTAGGTGATCAGTGCAGAGGTTTGTCAAAATTCCCTGTAGACAGAGCTTATAAAAGTGTTACATCACCTAGGTGATCAGTGCAGAGATATATGTCACAAAGCTCCCTGTAGGCAGAGCCTAGCCAAGAATTCTCTCGCCAGGAGTGATAAGTGCAGAGATATGTCACAAAGCCCCTGTAGGCAGAGCTTAAATGAGTTACATCACCTGGGTGATCAGTGCAAAGTTATGTCACAAAGCCCCCTGTAGGCAAAGCCTAGACAATAGTTACATTACTTGGGGGATCAGTAAAGACATCTCTCACAATTCCCCTGTAGGAAGAGCTTATACAACAGTTACATCACCTGGGTGATCAGTGCAGAGATATGTCACAATGCCCCCATAAGCAGATGCAAGACAAGAGTCCGTCACCTGGGTGTTCAGTACAGAAATACGTCAGAATGCCCTCGTGGGCAGAGCCTAGACAAAAGCCCCATCACCTGGATGATCAGTGCAGGGTTATGTCACAAAGTCCATTTACGCAGATCCTAGACAAGAGTTATATCACCTGGGTGATCAGTGCAGAGATATGTCACAATGCCACTGTAGGCAGAGCCTAGACAAGAGTTATATCACATGGGTGATCAGTGCAGTGATATGTCACAATGCCGTGTGGCCAGAGCCTAGGCAAAGTTTACATCATCGGGGAGATCAGTGCAGAGATATGTCACAATGCACACTGTAGGCAGAGCCTAGAGAAGAATTGCATCACCTGACTGATCAGTGCAGAGATATGTTGCAATGCACACTGTAAGCAATGCCTAGACAAGAGTTACATCACCTCGGTGATCACTTCAGAGATATGTCAAAAAGCCTCTGTAGACGGAACCTAGAAATGAGTTACATCACCTGGGTGATCAGGGCAGAGATATGTCACAATGCCCCCTGGAAGGAGAGCCCAGACAATAGTTGCATCACCTCGGTGATCAGTGCAGAGATATGTCACTATGCCCCCATAGGCAGATCCAAGACAAGAGTCCATCACCTGGGTGATCAGTGCAGAAGTATGCCACAATGCTGCCAGTAGGCAGATATAGGCAATAGTTACATCACCTGCGTGATCACTGCAGAGATATGTCACAATGCCCCTACAGGCAGAGCCTAGACAAGAGTCCCGTCACCTGGGTGATCAGTGCAGAGTTAGGTCACAATGCCCCCTTTTGGCAGAGCCTAGAGAAGGGTTACATCACCTGGGTGATAAGTGCAGAGATGTGTCACAAGCCCCCTGTAGCCAGAGCCTAGACAAGGGTTACATCAGCTGTATGATCAGTGCAGTGACATGTCACAATATCCCTCTTGCCGTATCTTTGACAAAAGTGACATCACCTGGGTGATCAGTGCGGAGATATGTCACAATGTCTCGAGTAGGCAGAGCCTAGACAAGAGTTACATCACCAGGGTGATCAGGGCAGAGATATGTCACAATGTCCACTGTAAGCAGATCCCAGACAAGAGTTGCATCACCTCGGTGATCAGTGCAGAGATATATCTCAATGCCCCCTGTTGGCAAAGCCTATACAAGAGTTACATCATCTCGGTGATCAGTGCAGTGATTTGTTAAATTCCCCCCATAGGCAGAGACTAGACAAGAGTTTCATCTCCTGGGTTTTCAGTGCAGAGATATCTCACAATACGCCCGCTAAGTAGAGCCTAGACAAGAGTTACATCACCTGGGTGATCAGTGCAGAGATATTTCATAAATCCCACTGTAGGCAAAGCCTAGACAAGTTTTACATCACCTCAGCGATCAGTGCAGAGATATGTCTCAATGTCCCTCTAGGCAGAGCTTAGACAAGAGTCACATCTCCTGGGTGATCAGTGCAGAGATATGTCACAATGCCCCCATAGACAGAGCCTAGACAAGAGTTACATAACCCGGGTGATCCGTGCAGAGTGATGTCACAACGCCCTCTGTAGGCAGAGACTAGAAAAGGTTTACATCACCTGGGTTATCAGTGCAGAGATATGTCACAGTGTCCCCTCTAGGCAGAGCACAGAGAAGAGTTGCATCACCTGGGAGATCAATGCAGAGATATGTCACAATGTCCCCTGTAAGCAAAGCCTAGGTACGAGTTACATCACCTTTTTCATCAGTTTAGGGATATGTGAAAACGCCCCTGTAGGCAGATCCTAGGGAAGAGTTGAATCTCTGGGAGCCCAGAGAGAGGCTTCCAGTTCCCGCGGGATTCCTGGAGAGGTCCGGAGAGACAGCCCCCGATACGCGCCCCCCTCACACCTTCCCTCTCGCCCCCTTCCTCTTCGTTTCTCCGGCCCCACCATCACCACGCCCTCCACCCCAGGGCCTCGACGCCCTGGGAACATTCCGGGGTGGGGCGGGCTGTCCCGGGCTGTCCCAGGGCTCACCGCCATTCATGAAGTGGTGGAGCCTGCCTGCCTGCAGGCCTTTATAAGAGCCGCTGGCTGGCTGTCCGGGCAGGCCTCCTGGCTGCACGTGCCGCAGTGCACAGGCCGGCTGAGGTGCACGGGAACCCGCCGGCCTCTCTCTGCCCGTGTCCGTCCATGAAATTCCGGCCGGTGATCCCCGCGATGTCCCTCCCGACACCTTCAGACAGCACCCTCCCCGCGGAAGCCCGGGGACGGGGACAGCAAAGGAGACTCGTTTGGACCCTGAGCCAAAGCGAGGCCCTGTGAGCCTGATTTGAGTGGAACCCGTACCCGGGCATTACGACCAGAGAACAGCTGGCCCAGGCCATCGGCATTCCGGAGCCCAGGGTCCAGTTTTGGTTTCAGAATGAGAGGTCATGCCAACTGAGGCAGCACCAGTGGGAATCTCGGCCCTGGCCCGGAAGACACGGCCCTCAAGAAGGCAGGCAAAAGCGAACCGCCGGCACCTGATCCCAGACGACTGGCTCCTCCGAGCCTTTGAGAAGGATCGCTTTCCAGGTATTGCCGCCAGGGAAGAGCTGGCAAGAGAGACGGGCCTCCCGGAGTACAGGATTCAGATCTGGTTTCAGAATCGAAGGGCCAGGCACCTGGGACAGGCTGGCAGGGTGTCCGCGCAGGCAGGCGGCCTGTGCAACTCGGCCGCCATTGGGTGTCACCCTGATCCCTCGTGTGTCGCCTTCGCCCACACCGGTGTGTGGGGAACAGGGCTTCTTGCACACCACGTGTAATGCACGCCTGGGGCTCTTCCACAGGAGGCTTTCTTGAGACAGGGAGTGAGGGCCGTCCCTGTGCTCCAGCCCAGCCAAGCCGCGCCGGCAGAGGGGATCTCCCAACCTACCCTGGCATGCGGGGATTTTGCCTACGCCACCCCAGTTCCTCCAGAAGGGGCGCTCTCCCACCCTCAGGCTCCTCAGTGGCCTCCGCACCTGGGCAAAAGCCGGGAGAACCGGGACCCACAGAGAGACGGCCGGCCGGGTCCTTGCGCTGTGGGACAGCCTGGGCCAGCTCAACGGGGCCACAGGGCCAAGGTGAGCTTGCGCCACCCGCGTCCCAGGTGAGTCCGTGGTGGGGCTGGGCCGGGGTCCCAAGGTCGCCGGGGTGGCATGGGAACCCCAAGCTGGGGCAGCTCCACCTCACCAGCCCATGCCTCCAGAGGCCTCCCCACAGCAGGGGCAGATGCAAGGCATCCCGGCGCTCTCCCAGGTGCTCCGGGAGCTGGGGCGCTCTTCTGCACTCCCCTCCGGCCAGCTGCTGGATGAGCTCCTGGCGAGCCCGGAATTTCTGCAGCAGGCACAACCATTCCTAGAAACGGAGGCCCCAGGGTAGCCGGAGGCCTTGGAAGAGGCCACCTCACTGGAAGAGCCCCTCAGCGAGGAAGAATACCGTGCTCTGCTGGAGGAGCTTTAGGACACGGGGTTGGAACGGGGTCGGGTCGGGGCGGGGCGGTGGCCTCTCTTTCGCAGGGAACACCTGGCTGGCTATGGATGGGCGTGTCTTCACCCCGCCCATTCCACCAGGCAGACCGGCCTGGGATTCCTGCCTTCTAGGTCTAGGCCCGGTGAGAGACTCCACAAAGCGGAGAACTGCCATTCTTTCCTGGGCATCCCGGGGATATCAGAGCTGGCCCAGGTACCAGCAGGTGGGCCGCCTACTGCGCACATGCGGTTTTGCAGGCAGCCACCTGGGCTGTGGGAGCAGCCCGGGCGGAGCTCTCATGCCTTTCCACCACCACAACCACGCCTGACCACCCCCTCCCCACCCCCACTGCCTTCCCCCGGAAAATGCGTCCTCCCCTGGGCTGAGTGGATACACCCATCCCGCGAAACACCGGGCCTGAGCTGCGTCCAGGCCTGACACCCCTCTGGTGGCTCGCCCCCTCTACTCCTCCCCGCCACCGTCGCCAGCACGCCCGTGACCCTGCAGCCTCCCAGCTACCACCATGGAGTGCCTGCTTGTGGAACGCAGACCTCTAGCTCTCTTTTCCAGCCTCCTGGCTAGACCTGCGCTCATTGCGCACCCTGGCTGACGTGCAAGGGAACTCGCTGGCCTCTCTGTGCCCTTGTCCATCCATGAAATTCCAACTGAGGCTCTCCCAACACATTCCAACGCTCTTTAGTCAAAGCCTGGAGAATAGTTACATCTCCTGGATGATCAGTTCAGAAATATGTCACAATGTCCCCTCCCTGTGGAGCCTAGAGAAGATTTGCATAATTTGGGTGATCAGTGCAGAGATATATCACAATGTCCCCTGTACAAAAAGCCTGGAAAAGATTTACATCACCTCGGTGATCAGTGCATAGGTATGTCAGAAATCCCCAGTAGGCTGAACCTAGACAAGGGTTAAATCACTTAGGTGATCAGTGTAGAGATATGTGAAAATTCCCGTGTAGACAGAGCCAAGACAAGTGTTAAATCACCTAGTGATCAGTGCAGGGATAAGTCGTAAAGCCTCCTGTAGGTAGAGTGTAGACAATTGTTTCCTCCCTGGGGCGATCAGTGCAGAGATATGTCACAAAGCCCTTGTAAGCAGAACCTTAAGGGTTACATCACCTGTTTGATCAGTGGAAATGTACATCACAATGCTCCCTGTAGGCCAAGCCCAGACAAGTGTTACATCACCTGGGTGAGCAGTGGAGAGATCTGTCACAATGCCCCTGTAGATAGAGCTTAAACAAGGGTTACATCACCTGGGTGATCAGTGCAGAGATATGTCAAAACGCTCCTGTAGGCTGAAACTAGACAGGAGTTCCATCACCCGGGTGATCAGTGCAGAGATATGTGAGAATTTCCATGTAGTCAGAGCCTAGACAACTGTTACATCACATAGGTTATCATTGTAGGTATAAGCCATAAAGCCTCCTGTAGGCAGAGAGTAGACAAGAGTTCCCTCCACAGGGTGATCAGTGCAGGGGTGTGTCACAAAGCCCCTGTAGGCAGAGCCTAGACAAGAGTTTCATCACATGGTTAATCAGTTCAAAGATATGTCACAATGTCCATGTAGGCAGATTGAAGACAAGAGTCCATCACCTGGGTGATCCAAGCAGAGATATGTACCAATGTCCCCTGTAGGCAGTGCCTAGACAAGAGTTGCATCACCTCAGAGATCAGTGCATAGATATGTCACAAAGCCTTCTGTAGGCAAAGCCCATACAAGGCTTATGTCACCTAGGTTATAAGTGCAGTGATATGTCACAAAAATCCCTGTAGACAGAGCCTAGACAAGACTTCCATCACCTGGGTGATCAGTGCAGAGATATATCACAAATCCCCTCCAGGCAGAGTATAGAGAAGGGTCCCATCACCTGGGTGATCAGTGCAGAGATATTTCACACTGCCCCCTGTAGGCAGAGAGTGGACAAGAGTTACGTAACCTAGGTGATCTGTGCAGAGCTATGTCAAAACGCCCCTGTAGGCAGAGCCTAGATAAATGTTACATCACCTGGGTGATCAGTGCAGAGATACGTCACAATAACCCCGGTAGGAGGAGACTAGACAAGAGTAACATCACCTGGGTGATCAGTACAGAAATATGTCACAAAGCCCTGTAGGCAGGGCCTGAACAAGAGTTACATTTCCTGGGTGATCAGTGCAGAAATATGTCACAAGCCCATGTAGGCCGAGCCTAGACAAGAGTTACATCTCCTGGGTGATCAGTGCAAAGATATGTCACAAAGCCCCCTGTAGACAAATCCCAGAAAATTGTTACTTCACCTGGGTGATCAGTGAAGATATCTGTCACAATTCCCCTTTAGGCACAGCTTAGTCAAGCATTACTTGAGTGATCAGTGCAGATATATGTCACTATGCCCCCATAGGCAGATCCAAGACAAGAGTCCATCACCTGGGTGATCAGTGCAGAAATATGCCACAATGCTGCCAGTAGGCAGATATAGACAAGTGTTACATCACCTGTGTTATCAGTGCAGAGATATGTCACAATGCCCCTGTAGGCAGAGCCTAGACAAGAGTCCCATCACCTGGGTGATCAGTGCAGAGGTATGTCACAATGCCCCCTTTTGGCAGAGCCTAGACAAGAGTTACATCACCTGGGTGATCAGTGCAGAGAAGTGTCACAAGCCCCCTGTAGCCAGAGCCTAGACAAGAGTTACATCAGCTGTGTGATCAGTGCAGTGACATGTCACAATGTCCCTGTAGCCATATCTTTGACAAAAGTGACATCACCTGGGTGATCAGTGCGGAGATATGTCACAATGTCTCCAGTAGACAGGCCAAGACAAGAGTTACATCACCTGGGTGATCAGGGCAGAGATATGTCACAATGCCCCCTGTAGGCAGATCCCAAACAAGAGTTGCATCACCTCGGTGATCATTGCAGAGATATGTCTCAATGCCCCCTGTTGGCGAAGCCTATACAAGAGTTACATCTTATCGGTGATCAGTGCAGTGATATGTTAAAATGCCCCTGTAGGCAGAGCCTAGACAAGAGTTGCATCACCTGGGTGATCAGTGCAGAGATATCTCACAATATCCCCTGTAAGCAGAGCCCAGACAAGAGTTACATCACCTGGGTGATCAGTGCAGTGATATGTAACGAATCCCAGTGTAGGCAAAGCCTAGACAATTTTACATCACCTCAGCGATCACTGCAGAGATATGTCCCAATGTCCCTCTAGGCAGAGCTTAGACAAGAGTCACATCTCCTGGGTGATCTGTGCAGAGATAAGTCACAATGCCCCCATAGGAAGAGCGTACAAAAGAGTTACATAATCCAGGTGATCCGTGGAGAATGATGTCACAACGCCCTCTGTAGGCAGAGACTACAAAACACATCACCTGGGTGATCAGTGCACAGATATGTCACAATGTCCCCTGTAGACAGAGCATAAAGAAGAGTTGCATCACATGGGTGATCAGTGCAGAGATATGTCACAATGTCCCCTGTAAGCAGAGCATAGAGAAGAGTTGCATCACCTGGGTGATCAGTGCAGATGTATGTCACAATGTCCCCTGTAGGCAAAAGCTAGGCCAGAGTTGCATCACCTGGGTGATCAGTGCAGAGATATGTCACAATGTCCCCTCTAGGCAAAGCCTAGGCAAGAGTTACATCACCTTTGTCATCAGTTCAGGGATATGTGAAAACGCCCCTGTAGGCAGACCATAGACAAGAGTTACATCACCTAGATGATCAGTGCAGAGATATTTCACAATAACCCCTGTAGGCAAATCCTAGACAAGAGTTGAATCACCTGGGTGATTAGTGCAGAGATATTTCACAATGCCCCCTTTGGGTAGAGGGTAGACAGGAGTTACATCACCTATGTGATCAGTGCAGAGATTTTTCAAAATTCCCTGTAGGCAGTGCTTATAAAAATGTTACATCACCTAAGTGATCAATGCAGATATATGTCAAAAAGCTCCTGTAGGCAGAACTTAGATGTGTTACATCACCTGGGTGATCAGTGCAAAGCTATGTCAAAAAGGCCCCTGTAGGCAAAGCCTGGACAATGGATACATCACTTGGGTGATCAGTGGCGAGATCTCTCACAATTCCCCTGTAAGCAGAGCTTATACAATAGTTACATCACCTGGGTTATCAGTGTAGAGATATGTCAAAATGCCCCCATAGGCAGAGCCTAGACAAGAGTTACATAACCCGGGTGTCCCGTGCAGAGTGATGTCACAATGCCTTCTGTAGCAGAGACTAGAAAAGAGTTACATCACATGGGTAATCAGTGCAGAGTTATGTCACAATGCCCCCTGAAGGCAGAGCATAGAGAAGAGTTGCATCACCTGGGTGATCAGTGCAGTGATATAACACAATGTCCCCTGTAGGCAGAGCATAGAGAAGAGTTGCATCACCTGGGTGATCAGTGCAGAGATATGTCACAATGTCCCCTCTAGGCAAAGCCTAGGCAAGAGTTACATCACCTTTGTCATCAGTTCAGGGATATGTGAAAACGCCCCTGTAGGCAGACCATAGACAAGAGTTACATCACCTAGATGATCAGTGCAGAGATATTTCACAATAACCCCTGTAGGCAAATCCTAGACAAGAGGTGAATCACCTGGGTGATTAGTGCAGAGATATTTCACAATGCCCCCTTTGGGCAGAGGGTAGACAAGAGTTACATCACCTATGTGATCAGTGCAGAGATTTTTCAAAATTCCCTGTAGGCAGTGCTTATAAAAGTGTTACATAAGTGATCAGTGCAGAGATACGTCATAAAGCTCCTGTAGGTAGAACATAGATGAGTTACATCACCTGGGTGATCAGAGCAAAGGTATGTCACAAAACCCTCTGTAGGCAAAGACTATACAATAGTTACATCACTTGGGTGATCAGTGGCGAGATCTCTCACAATTCCCCTGTAGGCAGAGCTTATACAAAAGTTTCATCACCTGGGTGATCAGTGCAGAGATATGTCACAGTACCCCCATAGGCAGATCCAAGACAAGAGTCCGTCACCTGGGTGATCAGTGCAGAAATATGTCACAATGCCCCCTTAGGCAGAGCCTAGACAAAAGCCCCATCACCTGGATGATCAGTGCAGACTTATGTCACAAAGTCCCTTTAGGCAGATCCTAGACAAGGGTTACATCACTTGGATGATCAGTGCAGAGATATGTCACAATGCCACTGTAGGCAGAGCCTAGACAAGAGTTACATGACCTTGGTGATCAGTGCAGAGATACATTGCAATGTCCCTGTAGGCAGAGCCTTGAGAAGTGGTACATCACCTGGGTGATCATTGCAGGGATATGTCACAAAGCACCCTGTAGGCAGATCCTAGAAAAGAGTTACATCACCTGGGTGATCAGTGCAGAGTTATGTCACAATGCCCCCTCTTGACGGAGCCTAGAAAAGGGTTATATCACCTGGGTAATCAGTGCAGAGATGTGTCAAAAGACCCTGGTAGCCAGAGCCTAGAAAATAGTTAATGCAGCTGTGTGATCAGTGCAGTGACATGTCACAATGTCCCTGTAGCCATATCCTTGAGAAAAGTGACATCACCTGGATGATCAGTGCGGAGATATGTCACAATGTCTCCAATAGGCCGAGCTTAGACAAGAGTTACATCACCTGGGTGATCAGGAGAGAGATATGTCACAATGCCCCCTGTAAGCAGATCCCAGAAAAAAGTTGCATCACCTCGGTTATCAGTGCAGAGATATGTCTCAATGCCCCCTGTCGGCGAAGCCTATAAAAGAGTTACATCATCTCGGTGATCAGTGCAGTGATATGTTGAAATGCCCCTGTAGGCAGAGCCTAGACAAGAGTTACATCACCTGGGTGATCAGTGCACAGATATCTCACAATACCCACTGTAAGCAGAGCCTAGACAACAGTTACATCACCTAGGTGATCAGTGCCGAGATATGTCATCAATCTCACTGTAGACAAAGCCTAGACAATTTTACATCACCTCAGCGATCAGTGCAGAGATATGTCCCAATGTCCCTCTAGGCAGAGCTTAGAAAAGAGTCACATCTCCTGGGTGATCAGTGCAGAGATAAGTCACAATGCCCCAGTAGGCAGAGCCTAGACGAGAGTTACATAACCCCGGTGATCCGTGCAGAGTGATGTCACAACGCCCTCTGTAGGCAGAGAGTGGAAAAGGGTTACATCACCTGGGTGAACAGTGCAGAGATATGTCACAATGCCCCCTGTAGGCTGAGCATAGAGAAGAGTTGCATCACCTGGGTGATCAGTGCAGGAATATGTCAAAATGTCCCCTGTAGGCAGAGCATAGAGAACAGTTGCATCACCTGGGCAATCACTGCAGAGATATGTCACAGTGTCCTCTATAGGCAAAGCCTAGGCAAGAGTTACATCACCTTTGTCATCAGTTCAGGGATATGTGAAAACGCCCCTGTAGGCAGAGCCTAGAAAATAGTTACATCACCTAGTTGATCAGTGCAGAGATATTTCACAATACCCCCTGTAGGCAGATCCTAGACAAAAATTGAATCACCTGGGTGATCAGTGCAGATATATTTCACAATGCCCCCTTTGGGCAGAGGGTAGACAAGATTTACATCCCCTATGTGATCCGTGCAGAGATTTGTCAAAATTCCCTGTAGGCAGTGCTGATAAAAGTGTTACATCACCTAAGTTATCAGTGCAGAGATATGTCACAAAGCTCCTGTAGGCATAACTTAGATGAGTTACATCACCTGGGAGATCAGTGCAAAAGTATGCCACAAAGCCCCCTGTAGGCAAAGCCTAGAAAATCGTTACATCACTTGGGTGATCAGTGGCGAGATCTCTCACAAATCCCCTGTAGGCAGAGCTTATACAACAGTTACTTCACCTGGGGGATCAATGCAGAGATATGTCACAATGCCCCCATAGGCAGATCCAAGACAAGAATCCGTCACCTGGGTGATCAGTGCAGAAATATGTGAGAATTCCCGTGTAGGCAGAGCCTAGACAAGTGTTACATCACCTAGGTTATCAATGCAGGTATAAGTCATAAAGCCTCTTGTAGTCAGAGCATAGAAAAGAGTTCCCTCCCCAGGGTGATCAGTGCAGAGATGTGTCGCAAAGCCCCTGTACGCAGAGGATAGACAAGAGTTTCATCACTTGGTTGATCAGTTCAGAGATGTGTCACAATGTCCATGTAGGCAGATCTAAGACAAGAGTCCATCACCTGGGTGATCAGTGCAGAGATATGTACCAAAGTCCCCTGTAGGCAGTGCCTAGACAAGAGTTGCATCACCTCAGAGATCAGTGCAGAGATATTTCACAAAGCCTTATGTAGGCAAAGCCCATACAAGGCTTACATCACCTAGGTGATCAGTGCAATGATATGTCACACAAATCCCTGTAGACAGAGACTAGAAAAGAGGTACATCTCCTGGGTGATCGGTGCAGTCATTTGACAAAATGCAGCCATAGACAGAGCCTAGACAAGACTTCAATCACCTTGGTGATCAGTGCAGAGATATGTCACAAATCCCCCTCTAGGCAGAGTATAGAGAAGAGTCGCATCACCTGGGTGATCAGTGCAGAGATATTTCACAATGCCCCCTGTAGGCAGAGAGTGGACAAGAGTTACATAACTGAGGTGATCTGTCCAGAGGTATGTCAAAACGCTCGTGTAGGCAGAGCCTAGATAAATGTTACATCACCTGGGTGATCAGTGCAGATATACTTCATAATACCCCCGTAGGTGGAGCCTGGACAAGAGTTACATCAACTGCGTGATCAGCGCAGAGATATGTCACAAAGCCCCTGTAGGCAGAGCCTAAACAAGACTTACATCACCTGGGTGATCTGTGCAGAAATATATCACAAAGCCCCTGTAGGCCAATCCTAGACAAGAGTTGTTACATCTCCTGGGTGATCAGTGCAAAGATATGTCACAAAGCCCCCTGAAGACAAATCCCAGGAAATAGTTACATCACCTGGGTGATCAGTGGAGATATCTGTCACAATTCCCCTTCAGGCGCAGATTAGACAAGCGTTACATCACATGAGTGATCAGTGCATAGATATGTCACGATGCCCCCATATGCAGATCCAAGACAAGAGTCCATCACCTGGGTGATCATTGCAGATATATGCCACAATGCCGCCAGTAGGCAGATATAGAAAAGAGTTACATCACCTGCGTTAACACTGCAGAGAGATGTCACAATGTCCCTGTAGGCAGAGCCTAGACAAGTGTCCCATCACCTGGGTGATCAGTGCAGAGTTATGTCACAATGCCCCGTGAAGGCAGAGCATAGAGAAGAGTTGCATCACCTGGGTGATCAGTGCAGAGATATGTCACAATGCCCCCTGTAGGCAGAGCATAGGGAAGAGTTGCATCACCTGGGTGATCAGTGCAGAGATATGTCACAATGTCCCCTGTAGGCAAGGCCTAGGCAAGAGTTACACCACCTTTGTCATCAGTTCAGGGATATGTGAAAGCGCCCCTTTAGGCAGAGCCTAGACAAGAGTTACATCTCCTAGTCGATCAGTGCAGAGACGTTTCACAATACCCCCTGTAGGCAGATCCTACAGAAGAGTTGAATCACCTGGGTGATCAGTGCAGAGATATTTCACAATGCCCTCTTTGGGCAGAGGGTAGACAAGATTTACATCACCTATGTGATCCGTGCAGAGATTTGTCAAAATTCCCTGTAGGCAGTGCTTATAAAAGTGTTACATCACCTAAGTGATCAGTGCAGAGATATGTCACAAAGCTCCTGTAGGCATAAATTAGATGAGTTATATCACCTGGGAGATCAGTGCAAAGGTATATCACAAGGCCCTATGTAGGCAAAGCCTAGACAGTAGTTACATCAGTTGGGTGATCAGTGGCGAGATCTCTCACAATTCCCCTGTAGGCAGAGCTTATATAACAGTTACATCACCTGGGTGATCAGTGCAGAGATATGTCACAATGCCCCCTTAGGCCGATCCAAGACAAGAGTCCGTCACCTGGGTGATCAGTGCAGAGATATGTGAAAATTCCCGTGTAGGCAGAGCCTAGACAAGTGTTACATCACCTACGTTATCAGTGCAGGTATAAGTCATAAAACCTCCTGTAGTCAGAGCGTAGACAAGAGTTCCCTCCCCAGGGTGATCAGTGCAGAGATGTGTCACAAATCCCCTGTAGGCAGAGCCTAGACAAGAGTTTCATCACTTGGTTGATCAGTTCAGAGGTGTGTCACAATGTCCATGTAGGCAGATCTAAGACAAGAGTCCATCACCTGGGTGATCAGTGCAGAGATATGTACCAATCTCCCCTGTAGGCAGTGCCTAGACAAGAGTTGCATCACCTCAGAGATCAGTGCAGATATTTCACAAAGCCTTCTGTAGGCAAAGCCCATACAAGGCTTACATCACCTAGGTGATCAATGCAGTGATATGTCAGAAAAAATCCCTGTAGACAGAGCCTAGAAAAAAGGTACATCACCTGGGTGATCAGTGCCAATATTTGACACAATGCCCCCATAGACTGAGCCTAGACAAGACCTCCATCACCTTGGTGATCAGTGCAGAGATATGTCACAAATCCCCCTCTAGGCAGAGTATAGAGAAGAGTCCCATCACCTGGGTGATCAGAGCAGAGATATTTCACAATGCCCCCTGTAGGCAGAGAGTGGACAAGAGTTACATAACCTAGGTGATCTCTGCTGAGCTATGTCAAAACGCCCGTGTAGGCAGAGCCTAGATAAATGTTACGTCACCTGGGTGATCAGTGCAGAGATACGTAACAATACCCCCTGTAGGTGGAGCCTAGACAATAGTTACATCAACTGGGTGATCAGTGAAGAGATATGTCACAAAGCCCCTGTAGGCAGAGTCTAGACAAGAGTTGTTACATCTCCTGCGTGATCAGTGCAAAGATATGTCACAAAGCCCCTGTAGACAAATCCCAGAAAATTGTTACATCACCTGGGTGATCAGTGGAGATATCTGTCACAATTCCCCTTCATGTGCAGCTTAGACAAGCGTTACGTCACATAAGTGATCAGTGCAGAGATATGTCACTTTGCCCCCATAGGCAGATCCAAGACAAGAGTCCATCACCTGGGTGATCAGTGCAGAAATATGCCACAATGCCGCCATGAGGCAGACATAGACAAGAGTTACATCACCTGCGTGATCACTGCAGAGATATGTCACAATGTCCCTGTAGGCAGAGCCTAGACAAGAGTCCCATCACCTGGGTGATCAGTGCAGAGATGTGTCACACGACCCCTGTAGCCAGAGCCTAGACAAGAGTTAAGTCATCTGTGTGATCAGTGCAGTGACATGTCACAATGTCCCTGTAGCCTTATCCTTGAGAAAAGTGACATCACCTGAGTGATCAATGCGGAGATATGTCACAATGTCTCCAGTAGGCATAGCCTAGGCAAGAGTTACATCACCTGGGTGATCAGGGCAGAGATATGTCACAATGCCCCTTGTAAGCACATCCCAGACAAGAGTTGCTTCACCTCGGTGATGAGTGCAGAGATATGTCTCAATGCCCCCTGTCGGCAATGCCTATACAAGAGATACATCATCTCGGTGATCAGTGCGGTGATGTGTTAAAATGCCCCTGTAGGTGGAGCCTAGACAAGAGTTACATCACCTGGGTGATCAGTGAAGAGTTATCTCACAATACCCACTGTAAGCAGTGCCTAGACCACAGTTACATCACCTGTGTGATCAGTGCTGAGATATGTCATAAATCCCACTGTAGGCATAGCCTAGAGAAGTTTTACATCACCTCAGCGATCACTGCAGAGATATATCCGAATGTCCCTCTAGGCAGAGCTTAGACAAGTGTCACATCTCCTGGGTGATCAGTACAGAGATAAGTCACAATGCCCCCGTAGGCAGAGCCTACACGAGAGTTACATAACCCGGATGACACGTGCAGAGTGATGTCACAACGCCCTCTGTAGGCAGAGACTAGAAAACAGTTACATCACGTGGGTGATCAGTGCAGAGATATGTCACAATGCACCCTGTAGGCACAGCATAGAGAAGAGTTGCATCACCTGGGTGATCAGTGCAGAGATATGTCACAATGTCCCCTGTAGGCAGAGCATAGAGAAGAGTTGCATCACCTAGGTGATCATTGCAGAGATATGTCACAATGTCCCCTGTAGGCAAAGCCTAGGCAAGAGTTACATCACCTTTGTCATCAGTTCAGGGATATGTGAAAACACACCTGTAGGCAGAGCCTGGACAAGGGTTACATCACCTAGTTGATCAGTGCAGAGATATTTCACAATACTCCCTGTAGGCAGATCCTAGACAACAGTTGAATCACCTGCATGATCAGTGCAGAGATATTCAACAATGCCTCCTTTGGGCAGAGGGTAGACAAGAGTTACATCACCTAGGTGATCCGCGGAGAGATTTGTCAAAATTCACTGTAGGAGGTGCTTATAAAATTTTTACATCACCTAAGTGATCAGTGCAGAGATGTGTCACAAAGCTCTTGTAGGCAGAACTTAGAAGAGTTACATCACCTGGGAGATCAGTGCAAAGTTATGTCACAAAGCCCCCTGTAGGCAAAGCCTAGACAATAGTTACATCAGTTGGGTGATCAGTGGCGGGATCTCTCACAATTCCCATGTAGGCAGAGCTTATACAACAGTTACATCACCTGGGTGATCAGTGCAGAGATATGTCACAATGCCCCCATAGGCAGTTCCAAGTCAAGAGTCCGTCACCTGGGTGATAAGTGCAGAGATATGTGAGAATTCCCGGGTAGGCAGAGCCTAGACAAGTGTTACATCACCTAGGTTATCAGTGCAGCTATAAGTCATAAAGCCTCCTGTAGGCAGAGCGTAGACAAGAGTTCCCTCCCCAGGGTGATCAGTGCAAAAATGTGTCACAAATCCCCTGTAGGCAGAGCCTAGACAAGAGTTTCATCACTTGGTTGATCAGTTCAGAGATTTGTCACAACGTACATGTAGGCAGATCTAAGACAAGAGTCCATCACCTGGGTGATCAGTGCAGAGATATGTACCAATGTCCCCTGTAGGCAGTGCCTAGACAAGAGTTGTATCACCTCAGAGATCAGTGCACAGATATTTCGCAAAGCCTTCTGTAGGCAAAGGCCATACAAGGCTTACATCACCTAGGTGATCAGTGCAGTGATATGTCAAAAAAATCCCTGTAGACAGAGCCTGGAAAAGAAGTACATCACCTGGGTGATCAGTGCAGACATTTGACACAATGAGTCCATAGACAGAGCCTAGACAAGACTTCCATCACCTTGGTGATCAGTGCAGAGATATGTCACAAATCCCCCTCTAGGCAGAGTATAGAGAAGAGTCCCATCACCTGGGTGATCAGTACAGAGATATTCCATAATGCCCCCTGTAGGCAGAGAGTGGACAAGAGTTACATAACATAGGTGATCTGTGCAGAGCTATGTCAAAACGCCCCTGTAGGCAGAGCCTAGATAAATTTTACATCACCTGGGTGATCAGTGCAGAGATACGTTACAATACCCCCTGTACGTGGAGCCTAGACAAGAGTTACATCACCTGGGTGATCAGTGAAGAAATATGTCACAAAGCCCCTGTAGGCCGAGCCTAGACAAGGGTTGTTATATCTCCTGGGTGATCAGTGCAAAGATATGTCACAAAGCCCCCTGAAGACAAATCCCAGGAAATTGTTACATCACCTGTGTGATCAGTGGACATATCTGTCACAATTCCCCTTCAGGCGCAGCTTAGACAAGCGTTACATCACATGAGTGATCAGTGCAGAGACATGTCACTGTGCCCCCGTATGCAGATCCAAGACAAGAGTCCATCACCTGGGTGATCAGTGCAGAAATATGTCTCAATGCCGCCTGTAGGCAGATATAGACAAGAGTTACATCACCTGCGTGATCACTGCAGAGATATGTCACAATGCCCCTGTAGGCAGAGCCTAGAGAAGAGTCCCATCACCTGGGTGATTAGTGCAGAGTTATGTCACAATAACCCGTTTTGGCAGAGCCTAGACAAGGGTTACATCACCTGGGTGATCAGTGCAGAGATGTGTCACAAGACCCCTGTATCCAGAACCTAGAAAAGTGTTATATCAGCTGTGTGATCAGTGCAGTGACATATCACAATGTCCCTGTAGCCATATCCTTGAGAAAACTAACATCACCTGGGTGATCAGTGCAGAGATATGTCACAATATCTCCAGTAGGCAGAGCCTAGACAAGAGTTACATCACCTGGGTGATCAGGGCAGAGATATGTCACAATGCCCCCTGTATGCAGATCCCAGACAAGAGTTGCATCACCTCGGTGATCAGTGCAGAGATATATCTCAATACCCCCTGTCGGCGAAGCCTATACAAGAGTTACATCATCTCGGTAGTCAGTGAAGTGATATGTTAAAATGCCCCTGTAGGCAGAGCCTAGACAAGACTTACATTTCCTCGGTGATCAGTGCAGAGATATCTCACAATATCCCCCGAAAGCAGAGCCTAGAAAAGACTTACATCACCTGGGTGATCAGTGCAGAGATATGTAATAAATTCCACAGTAGGCAAAGCCTAGACAAGTTTTACATCACCTCAGCGATCAGTGCAGAGATATGTCCCAATGTCCCTCTAGGCATATCTTAGACAAGACTCATATCTCCTGGGTGATCAGTGCAGAAATAAGTCACAATTCCCCCCTAGACAGAGCCTAGACGAGAGTTACATAACCCGGGTTATCTGTGCGGAGTGATGTCAGAAAGCCCTCTGTAGGCAGAGACTAGAAAAGAGTTACATCACCTTGGTGATCAGTGCAGAGATATGTCACAATGCCCCCTGTAGGCAGAGCATAGAGAAGAGTTGCATCACCTGGGTGATCAGTGCAGAGATATGTCACAATGACCCCTGTAGGCAAACCATAGAGAAGAGTTCCATCACCTGGGTGATCAGTGCAGATATATGTCACTATGTACCCTGTAGGCAAAGCCTAGGCAAATGTTACATCACATTTGTCATCAGTGAAGAGATATGTGAAAACGCCTCTGTAGGCAGAGCCTTGACAAGAGGTACACCACCTAGTCGATCAGTGCAGAGATATTTCAAAATGCCCCCTGTAGGCAGATCCTAGACCAGAGTTACATCACCTAGGAGATCAGTGCAGAGATTTGTCAAAATTCCCTGTAGACAGTGCTTATAAAAGTGTTACATCACCTAAGTGATCAGTGCAGAGATATGTCACAAAGCTCCTGTAGGCCGAACTTAGATGAGTTACATCACCTGGGTGATCAGTGCAAATGTATGTCACAAAGCCCCCTGTGGGCAAAGCCTAGACAATAGTTACATCACTTGGGTGATCAGGGGTGAGATCTCTCACATTTCCCCTGTAGGCAGAGCTTATAAAACAGTTACATCACCCGGGTGATCATTGCAGAGATATGTCCCAATGCCCCCATAGGCAGATCCAAGACAAGAGTCCGTCATCTAAGTGATCAGTGCAGAAATATGTCACAATGCCCCCTTAGGCAGAGCCTAGACAAAAGCCCCATCACCTGGATGATCAGTGCAGACTTATGTCACATAATTCCTTTAGGCAGATCCTAGACAAGGGTTACATCACTTGGATGATCAGGGCAGAGATATGTCACAATGCCACTGTTGGCAGAGCCTAGACAAGAATTACATGACCTAGGTGATCAGTGCAGAGATACATCACAATGTCCCTGTAGGCAGAGCCTTGAGAAGTGGTACATCACCTGGGTGATCATTGCAGGGATATGTCACAAAGCACCCTGTAGAAAGATCCTAGAGAAGAGTTATATCACCTGGGTGATCAGTGCAGAGATATGTCACAATTCCACTGTAGGCAGAGCCTAGACAAGGGTTACATCACATAGGTGATCAGTGCCGTGATACAACGCAATGCCCCTGTAGGCAGAGCCTTCACAAGTGGTATATCACCTGGGTGATCATTGCAGGGATATGTCACAAAGAACCCTGTAGGCAGATCCTAGAGAAGAGTTATATCACCTGGGTGATCACTGCAGAGATATGTCACAAGCCCCCTGTAGGCAGAGCCTAGACAAGAGTTATATCACCAGGGTGATCAGTGCAGTGATATGTCACAATGCCGTGTAGCCAGAGCCTATATTAAAGTTACAGCACCTGGGAGATCAGTGCAGAGATATGTCACAATGTCCCCTGTAGGCAAAGCCTAGGCAAGAGTTACACCACCTTTGTCATCAGTTCAGGGATATGTGAAAACGTCCCTGTTGGCAGAGCCTAGAGTAGGGCTACATCACCTTTGTCATCAGTTTAGGGACATGTGAAAACGACCCTGTAGGCAGAGACTAGACAAGAGTTACATCACCTAGTTGATCAGTGCGGAGATATTTCACAATAACCCCTGTAGGCAGATCCAAGACAAGAGTTGAATCACCTGGGTGATCAGTGCAGAGATATATCGCAATGCCCCCTTTCGGCTGAGGGTAGACAAGAGTTACATCACCTAGGTGATCAGTGCAGAGATTTGTCAAAATTCCCTATAAGCAGTGCTTATAAAAGTGTTACATCACCTAAGTCATCAGTGCAGAGATATGTCCCAAAGCTCCTGTAGGCAGAGCTTAGATGAGTTACATCACCTGGGTGATCAGTGCAAATGTATGTCAAAAAGCCCCCTTTAGGCAAACCCTAGACTAAAGTTACATGACTTGGGTGATCAGTGGCGAGATCTCTCACAATTCCCCTGTAGGCAGAACTCATACAACAGTTACATCACCTGGGTGTTCAGTGCAGAGATATGTCACAATGCCCCCATAGGCAGATCCAAGACAAGGGTCCGTCATCTGGGTGTTCAGTGCAGAGATATCTGAGAATTCCCATGTAGGAAGAGCCTTGACAAGAGTTGCATCACTTTGTTGATCAGTTCAGAGATGTGTCATGCTGACTGTTTGCTCCTGGAGGTCTGCGGGCACCCAGAAACATGCAGGGAAGGGTGGAAGGCCGCCATGGTGCCTTTGCACTCCTTGCCAGTTTCCAAACCGGCCAACCTGCAGACTCCCCATGTTGCCGCACACGGGAATCCATCGTCAAGCCTTCACGCTGCGGAGGCATCTTCTCTCGCTCTTGTCTCCTACGTGGAAATGAACGAGAGCCACACGCCTGCGTGTGTGAGACTGTCCCAGCAATGGCGACACCCACAGGCACTGGCTCCTTCACGGAGAGAGGGCCTGGAACACTCAAGACTCCCACGGAAGTTCAGTTCCACACTCCCCTCCACCCTCCCAGGCCGGTTTCTCCCTGCTGAAGATTCGTGGGAGCCCAGAGAGAGGCTTCCAGTTCCCGCGGGATTCCTGGAGAGGCCCGGAGAGCCAATCCCTGAAACGCGCCCCCCTCACGCCTTCCCCCTCGCCCCCTTCCTCTTCGTCTCTCTGGCCCCACCACCAACATCACCACGCCCTCCCCCCCACACCACCAGCCCCCGGCCGCAGGCCTCGACGCCCTGGGACCCTTCCGGGGTGGGGCGGGCTGTCCCAGGGCTCACCACCATTCATGACGGGGTGGAGCCTGCCTGACTGCGGGCCTTTATAAGAACCGCTGGCTGGCTGTCTGGGCAGGCCTCCTGGCTGCACTTGCCACCGTGCACAGGCTGGCTGAGGTGCACGGGAGCCCGCCGGCCTCTCTCTGCCCGTGTCTGTCCGTGAAATTCCGGCCGGGGCTCCCCGCGATGGCCCTCCCAACACCTTCGGACGGCACCCTCCCAGTGGAAGCCCGGGGCCGGGGACGACGAAAGAGACTTGTTTGGACCCCGAGCCAAAGCGAGGCCCTGCAAGCCTGCTTTGAGCGGAACCCGTACCCGGGCATCGCCACCAGAGAACGGCTGGCCCAGGCCATCGGCATTCCACAGCCCAGGGTCCAGATTTGGTTTCAGAATGAGAGGTCACGCTAGCTGAGGCAGCATCAGTGGGAATCTTGGCCCTGGCCCGGAGACGCAGCCCGCAAGAAGGCAGGCGAAAGCGGACCTCCGTCACCGGATCTCTGCACTGATCGCTGAGGTGATGTAAAATTCTCTAGGCTTTGCCTACACAGGGATTTATGACATATCTCTGCACTGACCACAGAGGAGATGTAACTCTTATTTAGGCTCTGCCTACAGGGGCTTTGTGACATATTTCTGTACTGAGCACGGATGCACAAGGGCACAGAGAGGCCAGGGGGCTCCCTTGCACGTCAGCCGGTGCGCGCAATGACTGCAGGTCTAGCCACTCAGCCCAGGGGAGGACACTTTCCGGGGGTGGGGGATGGGGCTGGGGAGGGTGCCCTCCGAAGGTTTCGAGAGTGCCATCGCGGGGACATTGGGACATGTCACAAAGCCCCCATACACAGAGCCTAGACAAGAGTCCCATCACCTGGGTGTCCCTGTGTCCCTCTAGGCAGAGCTTAGACAAGAGTCACATCTCCTGGGTGATCATTGCAGAGATAAGTCACAATGCCCCCATAGGCAGAGCCTAGACAAGAGTTACATAACCCGGGTGATCCGTGCAGAGTGATGTCACAACGCCCTCTGTAGGCCCTCAGGCACTGCCTCCCACACGGAGAGAGGGCCTGGAACACTCAAGACTCCCACGGAGGTTCAGTTCCACTCTCCACTCCACCCTCCCAGGCGGGTTTCTCCCTGCTGAAGGTGCATGGGAGCCCAGAGAGCGGCTTCCAGTTCCCGTGGGATTCCTGGAGAGGTCCGAAGAGCCAGCCCCTCAAATGCACACCCCTCACCCCTTCCCCCTCGCCCCCTTCCTCTTCGTCTCTCCGGCCCCACCACCACCATCACCACACCCTCCACCCCCACCCCAACAACCCCCGGCCGCAGGACTATGCCTGTCTTCCACCCTTCCCTGCATGTTTCCGGGTGCCCACAGAGCTCCGCCAGCCCGTGGGCTCCCGTACACCTCAGCCGGCCTGTGCACTGCAGCAGGTGCAGCCAGGAGGCCTGCCCGGAAAACCATATCTCTGCACTGATCACCAGGTGATGGGACTTTTGTCTAGGCTCTGCCTATGGGGGCATTGTGACATAACTCTACACTGATCACCCAGGTGATGTAACTCTTGTGTTGGATCTGCCTATGGGGGCATTGTGACCTATTTCTGCACTGATCACCCAGGTGATGGGACTCTTGTCTAGGCTCTGTGTATGGGGGCTTTGTGAACATATCTCTGCACTGATCACCCAGGTGATGCAACGCTTGACTAGGCTCTGCATACAGGACATAGTGACATATCACTGCATTGATAACCGAGGTGATGTAACTCTTGTCCCAGGCTCTGCCTATAGGGGGCCTTGTGACATATCTCTGCATTGATCATCTAGGTGATGTAACACTTTCATAAGCACTTCCTATAGGGAATTTTGAAAAATCTCTGCAGTGGTCACCTAGGTGATGTAACTCTTGTCTACCCTCTGCCCAAAGGGGGCATTGTGAAATATCTCTGCACTGATCACACAGGTGATCCAACTCTTGTCTAGGATCTGACTTCAGGGCGTATTGTGAAATATCTCTGCATTGATCAACTAGGTGATGTAACTCTTGTCTAGGCTCTGCCTACAGGGGCGTTTTCACATATCCCTGAACTGATGACAAAGGTGATGTAACTCTTGCCTAGGCTTTGCCTTCAGGGGACATTGTGACATATCTCTGCACTGATCACCCAGGTGATGCAACTCTTCTCTATGCTCTGCCTACAGGGGCCATTGTGACATATCTCTGCACTGATCACCCAGGTGATGCAACTCTTCTCTATGCTCTGCCTACAGGGGGCATTGTGACATATCTCTGCACTGATCATCCAGGTGATGTAACTCGTTTCTAGTCTCTGCCTATAGAGGGCGTTGTGACATCACTCTTCACGGATCACCCTGGTTATGTAACTCTTGTCTAGGCTCTGCCTATTGGGGCATTGTGACTTAGCACTGCACTGATCACCCAGGAGATGTGTCTCTTGTCTAACCTCTGCCTAGAGGGACATTGGGACATATCTCTGCACTGATCGCTGAGGTGATATAAAACTTGTCTAGGCTTTGCCTACAGTGGGATTTATGACATATGTCTGCACTGATCACCCAGGTGATGTAACTCTTGTCTAGGCTCGGCCTACAGGGGCATTTTAACATATCACTGCACTGATCACCGAGATGATGTAACTCTTGTATAGGCTTCGCAGACAGGGGGCATTGAGACATATCTCTGCACTGATCACCGAGGTGATGCAACTCTTGTCTGGGATCTGCTAACAGGGTGCATTGTGACATATCTCTGCCCTGATCACCCAGGTGATATAAATCTTGTCTAGGCTCTGCCTACTGGAGACATTTTGACATATCTCCGCACTGATCACTGAGGTGATGCAACTATTTTCTAGTCTGTGCCTACAGAGGGCGCTGTGACATCACTCTGCACGGATCACCCAAGTGATGGGACTTTTGTCTAGGCTCTGCCTATGCAGGCATTGTGACATCTCTACACTGATCACCCAGGTGATGTAACTCTTGTGTTGGATCTGCCTCTGGGGGCATTGTGACATATTTCTTCACAGATCTCCCAGGTGATGGGACTCTTGTCTAGGCTTTGGGTTTGGGGGCTTTGTGACATATCTCTGCACTGATCACCCAGGTGATGCAACCCTTGACTAGGCTCTGCCTACGGGGCATAGTGACATATCACTGCATTGATCACCGAGGTGATATAACTCTTGTCCAGGCACTGCCTATAGGGGGGCTTGTGACATATCTCTGCACTGATTATCTAGGTGATGTAAAGCTTGCTTGCGCTCTGCCTGCAGGGGCATTGTGAAATATCTCTGCACTGATCACCCAGGTGATGGGACTCTTCTCTAGGCTCTGCCTACTGGGAGCATTGTCACATATTTCTGCACTGATCACCCAGGTGACAGACTCTTGTCTTGGATTTGCCTATGGGAGCATTGTGACATATCCCTGCACTGATCACCCAGGTGATGTAACTCTGGTCTAAGCTCTGCCTAAAGGGGCATTGTGACAGATCTCTGCACTGATCACTCAGGTGATGTAACTATTGTCTATGCTCTGCTTAAAGGGGCCTTGTCACATATCTCTGCACTGATCACCCAGGTGATGTAACCCTTGTCTAGGCTTTGCTTACAGGGGTATTGGGACATATCTCTACACTGATCACCTAAGTGATGTAACACTTGTGTAGGCTATGCCTACAGGTGCATTTTGACATATCTCTGCACTGTTAACCGAGGTGATATAACCCTTGTCTAGGCTGTGCCCACATGGGGATTGAGCCATTACTCTGCACTGATCCTGAGGTGATCCAACTCTTGCCTGGTCTCTGCCTACTGGGGACATTGTGACATATCTCTGCACTGATCTTCCAGGTGCTGTAAATTTAGTCTAGGCTCTGGCTACACGGCATTGTGACATATCACTGCACTGATCACCCACGTTATATAACTCTTGTCTAGGCTCTGCCTACAGGGGCTTGTGACATAACTCTGCACTGATCAACCAGGTGATATAACTCTTCTCTAGGATCTGCCTACAGGATGCTTTGTGACATATCCATGCAATAATCACCCAGGTGATGTACCACTTGTCAAGGCCCTGTCTACAGGGACATTACGCTGTATCTCTGCACTAATCACCTAGGTCATGTAACTCTTGTCTAGACTCTGCCTACAGTGGAATTGTGACATATCTCTGCACTGATCATCCAAGTGATGCAACTCTTGTCTAGGATCTGCCTAAAGAAACTTTGTGACATAACTCTGCACTGATCATCCAGGTGATGGGGCTATTGTCCAGGTTCTGCCTAAGTGGGCATTGTGACATATTTCTGCACTGATCACCCAGGTGATGGACTCTTGTCTTCGATCTGCCTATGGGGGCATTGTGACATATCTCTGCAATGATCACCCAGCTGATGTAACTGTTGTATAAGCTCTGCCTACCGGGGAATTGTGAGAGATATCGCCACTGATCACCCAACTGATGTAACTATTGTCTAGGCTTTGCCTACAGGGGGCTATGTGACATACCTTTGCACTGATCACCCAGGTGATATAACTCATCTAAGTTCTGCCTACAGGAGCTTTGTGACATATCTCTGCACTGATCACTTATATGATATAACAATTTTATAAGCACTGCCTACAGGGAATTTTAACAAATCTCTGCACTGATCACCTAGGTGATGTAACTCTTGTCTACACTCTGCTCAAAGGGGGCATTGTGAAATATCTCTGCACTGATCACCCAGGTGATATAACTCATCTAAGTTCTGCCTACAGGAGCTTTGTGACATATCTCTGCACTGATCACTTATATGATATAACAATTTTATAAGCACTGCCTACAGGGAATTTTAACAAATCTCTGCACTGATCACCTAGGTGATGTAACTCTTGTCTACACTCTGCTCAAAGGGGGCATTGTGAAATATCTCTGCACTGATCACCCAGGTGATTCAACTCTTGTCTAGGATCTGCCTACAGGGGATATTGTGAAATATCTCTGCATTGATCACCTAGGTGATGTAACTTTTGTCTAGGCTCTCCCCACAGGGGTGTTTTCACATATCCGTGAACTGATGACAAAGGTGATGTAACTCACGCCTAGGCTTTGCCTATAGGGGACATTGTGAAATATCTCTGCACTGATCAACTAGGTGATGTAACTCTTTTCCAGGCTCTGCCTACAGGGGCTTTGTGACATATTTCTGTACCGATCACCCAGGTGATGTAACTCTTGGCTCCAACTACAGGGTGTATTGTGAAGTATCTCTTCATTGATCACCCGGGTGATGTAACTCTTGTCTAGGCTCCAACTACAGGGGGTATTGTGACGTATCTTTGCACTGATCGCCCAGGTGATGTAACATTTATCTAGGCTCTGCCTACAGGGGCGTTTTGAAATAGCTCTGCACAGATCACCTAGGTTATGTAACTCTTGTCCACTCTCAGCCTACAGGGGCATTGTGAAATATCTCTGCACTGATCACCCAGGTGATGGGACACTTCTCTTTACTCTGCCTAGAGGGGGTTTGTGACATATCTCTGCACTGATCACCCAGGTGATGGAAGTCTTGTCAAGGCTCTGTCCATGGGGGCATTGTGTCAAATATCTGCACTGATCACCCAGGTGATGTAACTCTTTTCTAGGCTCTGTCTACAGGAATTTTTGTGACATATCACTGCACTGATCACCTAGGTGATGTTAGCCTTGTATGGGCTTTGCCTACAGAAGGCTTTGTGACATATCTATGCACTGATCTCTGAGGTGAGGCAACTCTTGTCTAGGCACTGCCTCCAGGGGACATTGGTACATATCTCTGCACTGATCACCCAGGTGATGGACTCTTGTCTTAGATCTGCCTACATGGACATTGTGACACATCTCTGAACTGATCAACCAAGTGATGAAACTCTTGTCTAGGCTCTGCCTAAATGGGCTTGGTGACACATCTCTGCACTGATGACCCTGGGGAGGAAAGTCTTGTCTATGCTCTGCCTACAGGAGGCTTTATGACTTATACCTGCACTGATAACCTAGGTGATGTAACACTTGTCTAGACTCTGCCTACACGGGAATTCTCACATATCTCTGCACTGATCACTCAGTTCATGTAACTCATTTCTAGGTTCAGCCTAGAGGAGCATTCTGACATATCTCTGCACTGATCAGCCAGGTGATGTAACTCTTGTGTTGGATCTGCCTCTGGGGTCATTTTGACATATATCTGCACTGATCACCCAGGTGATGGGATTCTTGTCTATGCTCTGTGTATGGGGGCTTTGTGACATATCTCTGCACTGATCACCCAGGTGATTGGACTTTTCTCTAGGCTCTGTCTCCTGGGGGTATTGTCACATATTTCTACACTGATCACCCATGTGGCGGACTCTTTTCTTGGATTTTCCTATGGGGGCATTGTGACATATCTCTGCACTGATCACCCAGATGATGTAACTGTGGTCTAAGCTCTGCCTAAAGGGGCATTGTGAAAGATCTCTGCACTGATCACTCCGGTGATGTAACTATTGTCTAGGCTCTGCTTAAAGGGGCCTTGTCACATATCTCTGCACTGATCACCCAGGTGATGTAACTCTTGTCTAGGCTCTGTTTACAGGGTGTATTGTGACATATCTCTGCACTGATCACATAAGTGATGTAATCCTTGTGTAGGCTCTGCCTACAGGGGCATTTTGACATATCTCCGCACTGTTAACCGAGGTGATGTAACAATTGTCTAGGCTGTGCCCACAGGGGGATTGAGAGATATCTCTGCACTGATCCCGAGGTGATCCAACTGTTGTCTGGTCTGTGCCTACTGGGGACATTGTAACATATCTCTGCACTGATCTCCCAGGTGCTGTAACTTTAGTCTAGGCTCTGGCTACACGGCATTGTGACATATCACTGCACTGATCACCCAGGTGATATAACCCTTGTCTAGGCTCTGCCTACAGGGAGCTTGCGACATATCTCTGCACTGATCACCCAGGTGATATAACTCTTCTCTAGGATCTGCCTACAGGGTGCCTTGTGACATATCCCTGCAATGATCACGCAGGTGATATACCACTTGTCAAGGCTCTGGCTACAGGGGCATTGCGATGCATCTCTGCACTGATCACCTAGGTCATGTAAATCTTGTCTACGCTCTGCCTACATTGGCATTGTGACATATCTCTACACTGGTTATCCAAGTGATGTAACATTGTCTAGGAACTGCCTAAAGGGACTTTGCGACATAACTCTGCACTGATCATCCAGGTGATGGGGTTTTGTCTAGGCTCTGCCTAAGGGGGCATTGTGACATATTTCTGCACTGATCACCCAGGTGACGGACTCTTGTCTTGGATTTGCCTATGGGGGCATTGTGACATGTCTCTGCACTGATCACCCAGGTGATGTAACTGTTGTATAGGCTCTGCCGACAGGTGAACTGTGAGAAATCTCACCACTGATCACCCAAGTGATGTAACGATATTCTAGGCTTTGCCTACACGGGGCTTTGTGACATACCTTTGCACTGATCATCCAGGTGACGTAACTCATCTAAGTTCTGCCTACAGGAGCTTTGTGACATATCTCTGCACTGCTCACTTAGGTGATGTAACACTTTTATAAGCACTGCATACAGGGAATTTTGTCAAATCTCTGCACGGATCACCTAGGTGATGTATCTCTTGTCTACCCTCTGCCCAAAGGGGGCATTGTGAAATATCTCTGCACTGATCACCCAGGTGATTCAACTCTTGTCTAGGATCTGCCTACAGGGGGTATTGTGAAATATCTCTGCACTGATCAACTAGGTGATGTAACACTTGTCTAGGCTCTGCCTACAGGGGCGTTTTCACATATCCCTGAACTGATGACAAAGGTGATGTAACTCTTGCTTAGGCCTTGCCTACGGGGGCACTGTGACATATCTCTGCACTGATCACCCAGGTGATGCAACTCTTCTCTGTGCTCTGCCAACAGGGGCCATTGTGACATATCTCTGTACTGATCACCCAGGTGATGCAACTCTTCTCTATGCTCAGCTTACAGGGGACATTGTGACATATCTCTGCACTGATCACCCAGGTGATGTAACTCATTTCTAGGCTCCACCTACAGGGGCTATTGTGACGTATCTCTGCACTGATCACCCAGGTGATGTAACATTTACATAGGATCTGCCTACAGGGGCGTTTTGATATAGCTCTGCACAGGTCACGTAGGTTATGTAACTCTTGTCAACTCTCTGTCTACAGGGGACATTGTGAAGTAACTCTGCACTGGTCACCCAGGTGATGGGACTCTTCTCTATACTCTGCCTAGAGGGGGATTTGTGACATATCTCTGCACTGATCACGCAGGAGATGGAAGTCTTGTCTAGACTCTGTCTATGGGGGCATTGTGTCAAATATCTGCACTGATCACCCAGGTGGTGTAACTCTTGTCTACGGTCTGTCTACAGGGATTTGTGTGACATATCACTGCACTGATCACCTAGGTGATGTTAGCCTTGTATGGGCTTTGTCTATAGAAGGCTTTGTGACATATCTATGCACTGATCTCTGAGGTGATGCAACTCTTGTCTAGGCAGTGCCTACAGGGGACATCGGGACATATCTCTGCACTGATCACCCAGGTGATGGACGCTTGTCTTAGATCTGTCTACATGGACATTGTGACACATCTCTGAACTGATCAAAGAAGTGATGAAACTATTGTCTAGCCTCTGCCTACAGGGGCTTTGTGACACATCTCTGTACTGATCACCCTGGGGATGGAACTCTTGTCTACGCTTTGCCTACAGGAGGCTTTATGACTTATACCTGCACAGATAACCTAGTTGATGAAAAACTGGTCTAGGTTCTCCCTACACAGGAATTCTCACATATCTGTGCACTGATCACCTGGTTGATGTAACTCCTGTCTAGGTTCAGCCTAAAGGAGCGTTTTGACATATCTATTCACTGATCACCCAGGTGATGTAACACTTGTCTAAGCTCTGCCTACAGGGGCATTGTGACAGATCTCTCCACTGCTCACCCAGGTGATGTAACAATTGTCTGGGTTTTGCCTACAGGGGGCTTTGTGACATACATTTCCGCAGATCAAACAGGTGATGTAACCCTTGTCAAGGTTCTGCTTACAGGGGCCTTGTGACATTTCTCTGCACTGATCACCCCAGGGAGGAAACAATTTTCTACACTCTGCCTAAAGGAGGCTTTACGACTTATCCCTGCACTGATCACTAGGTGATGTAACACTTGTCTAGGCTCTGTCTACACGGGAATTTTCACATATCTCTACACTCATCACCTAAGTGATGTAACCCTTGTCTAGGTTCAGCCTACTGGGGATTTCTGACATACCTATGCACTGATCATCAAGGTGATGTAAATCATTTCCAGGCTTTTTGTACAGGGGACATTGTGTTATATCTCTGCACTGATCACCCAAATGATGCAAATCTTCTCTATGCTCCGCAGGGAGGGGGCATTGTGACACATTTCTGAACTGATCATCCAGGAGATGTACCTATTCTCCAGGCTTTGACTAAAGAGCATCGGAAGGTGTTGGGAGAGCCTTAGTCGGAATTTCACGGATGGACAGGGTCACAGAGAGGCCAGCGGGCTCCCTTGCATGTCAGCTGGGGAGCGCAATGAGCGCATGTGTAGCCAGGAGGCTGGTAAAGAGAGCTAGAAATCTGGGTTCCTCCGCCAGGCACTCCATGGTGGCAGCTGGGAGGCTGCATGGTCACGGGCGGGCCGGCGACAGTGGCGCGGAGGCACAGATGAGGCGAGCCGCCAGAGGGGTGTCAGGCCTGGACGCAGGGTGGCCCGGTGTTTCCCGGGACAGTGGTCTCCACCCAGCCCGGAGACCAGCAGTGATATCTGGTTTCAGAATCGAAGGACCAGGCACCCGGGAGAGGTGGGCAGGGTGCCCGCACAGGCAGGCGGCCTGTGCAATGCAGCCCCCGGTGGGTGTCACCCTGCTCCCTCGTGGGTCCCCTTCGCCCACACTGGCGCATGTGGAACGAGGCTTCCCGCACTCCACATGCCCTGCGCGCCTGGGTCTCTCCCACAGGGGGCTTTTGTGAGACAGGGATCGAGGGCCGTCCCCGTGCTCCAGCCCAGCCAGGCTGCGCCAGCAGAGGGGATCTCCCAACCTGCCCTGGCACGCGTGGATTTTGCCTATGCCACCCTGGCTCCTCCGGAAGGGGCGCTCTCCGACCCTCAGGCTCCTTGGTGGCCTCCACACCTGGGTAAAAGCCGGGAGGACCAGGACCCACAGCGCAACAAATTGCCAGGCCCTTGCGCAGTGGGACAGCCTGGGCCCGCTCAGGAGGGGCCACAGGGCTAAGGTGTGCTTGCGCCAACCGCATCCCAGGTGAGTCCGTCGTGGGGCTGTGGCTGGTGTCCACCGGTCTCCGGGGCGGTGTGGGAATCCCAAGCCGGGGCAGCCCCACCTCGCCAGCCCGTGCCCTAGAGGCCTCCGCCCAGCAGGGGCAGATGCTAGGCATCCCGGCACCCTCCTGGGCGCTCCAGGAGCCGGGGTGCTCACCTGCACTCCCCTCTGGCCTGCTGCTGGTTGAGCTCCTGGAGAGCCCGGAGTTTCTGCAGCAGGCAAAATCTTTCCTAGAAACGGAGGCCCCAGGGGAGCTGGAGGCCTTGGAAGGGGCGGCCTCTCTGGAAGCACCCCTCAGCGAGGAAGAATACCGGGCTCTGCGGGAGGAACTTTAGGACACAGGGTTGGGACGGGGTCGGGTCGGGGCAGGGCGGTGGCCTCTCCTTCACAGGGAACACCTGGCTGGCTATGGAGGGGCGTGTCTTCCCCCCGCCCCCTCCACCGGGCTGACAGGCCTGGGATTCCTGCCTTCTAGGTCTAGGCCTGGTGAGAGACTCCACACAGCAGAGAACTGCCATTCTTTCCTGGGCATCCCGGGGATCCCAGTGCCAGCCCAGGTACCAGCAGGTGGGCCGCCTACTGTGCACGTGCGGGTTTGAGGGCAGCCGCCTGGGCTGTGGGAGCAGCCCGGGCAGAGCTCTCATGCCTCTCCACCACCTCACCACCGCCTGACCACCCCCTCCCCACTCCCACACCCCACCCACGGAAAATGCGTCCTCCCATGGCCTGGGTGGAGAACCCCGTCCCGCGAAACACCGGGCCCACGCAGCGTCCTTTCCTGACATCCCTTTGGTGGCTTGCATCCTCTGCACCTCCACGCCACCGTAGCCCACCCGTGCATTCCCCTGCAGCCTCCCACCTGTCACCATGGAGGGCCTGGCGGCGGAACGCAGACCTCTAGCTCTCTTAGCTGGCCTCCTGGCTCGACCTGCACTCATTGCGCACCCTGGCTGATGTGCAAGGGAGCCCGCTGGTCGCTCTGTGACCTTGTCCATCCGAGAAATTCCGGCTGAGGTTCTCCCAACATCTGATGCTCTTTAGTCAAAGCCTGGAGAATTGTTACATCTCCTGAATGATCAGTTCAGAAACATGTCACAATGCAGCCTCCCTGCGGAGCATAGAGAAGATTTGTATCATTTGGGTGATCAGTGCAGAGACATATCACAATGTCCCCTGTACAAAAAGCCTGGAAATGATTTACATCACCTCGGTAATCAGTGCATAGGTATGACAGAAATTCCCAATAGGCTGAACCTAGACAAGGGTTTCATCACTTCATCAGTGCAGAGATATGTCACAATGTCCCCTGTAGGCAAAGCCTAGGCAAGAGTTACATCACCTTTGTCATCAGTTCAGGGATATGTGAAAACGCCCATGTAGGCAGAGCCAAGACAAGAGTTACATCACCTTTGTCATCAGTTCAGGTATATGGGAAAACGCCCATGTAGGCAAAGCCAAGACAAGAGTTACATCACCTAGCTGATCAGTGCAGAGATATTTCACAATACCCCCTGTAGGCAGATCCTAGACAAGAGTTGAATCACCTGGGTTATCAATGCAGAGATATTTCACAATGCCCCCTTTGGGCAGAGGGTAGACAAGGGTTACATCACATATGTGATCAGTGCAGAGATTTGTCAAAATTTCCTATAGGCAGTGCTTATAAAAGTGTTACATCAACTAAGTGATCAGTGCAGAGATATGTCACAAAGCTCCTGTAGGCAGAATTTAGATGAGTTACATCACCTGGGTGATCAGTGCAAAGGTATGTTCCAAAGCCTCCTGTTGGCAAAGCCTAGACAATATTTATATCACTATGGTGATCAGTGGCGAGATCCCTCACAATTCCCCTGTAGGCAGAGCTTATACAACACTTACATCACCTGGGTGTTCAGTGCAGAGATATGTCACAATGCCCCCATGGGCAGATCCAAGACAAGACTCAGTCACCTGGGTGATCAGTGAAGAAATGTGTCACATTGCCCCCTTAGGCAGAGCCTAGACAAAAGCCCAACACCTGGATGATCAGTGCAGAGTTGTGTCCCAAAGTCCCTTTAGGCAGATTCTGGAAAAGAGTTACATCACGTGGATGATCAGTGCAGAGATATGTCACAATGCCACTGTAGGCAGAGCCTAGACAAGAGTTACATGACCTAGGTGATCAGTGCAGAGATACATCGCAATGCCCCTGTAAGCATAGCCTTGACAAGTGGTATATCTCCTGGGTGATCATTGCAGGGATATGTCACAAAGCACCCTGTAGGCAGATCCTACAAAAGATTTGCATCACCTGGGTGATCAGTGAAGAGATATGTCACAATGCCACTGTTGGGAGAGCCTAGACAAGAGTCCCATCACCTGGGTGATCAGTGCAGAGTTCTGTCACAATGCCGTTGTAGGCAGAGCCTTGACATGTGGTATATCACCTGGGTGATCATTGCAGGGATATGTCACAAAGCACCCTGTAGGCAGATCCTAGAGAAGAGTTATATCACCTGGGTGATCAGTGCAGAGATATGTCACAAGCCTCCTGTAGGCAGAGCCTAGACAAGAGTTATATCACCTGGGTGATCAGTGCAGTGATATGTCACAATGCCGTGTAGCCAGAGCCTAGAATATAGTTAGAGCACCTGGGAGATCAATGCAGAGATATGTCACAATGTCACCAGTAGGCAGAGACCAGGCAAGAGTTGGATCACCTCGGAATAAGTGCAGAGATATGTCTCAATCCCCCTGTGGGCACAGCCTAGACAAGGGTTACATCACCTCGGTTAACAGTGCAGAGATATGTCAAAATGCCCCTGAATGCAGAGCCTACACAAGTGTTAAATCACTTATGTGATCAGTGCAGAGATATGTCACAATACCAGGTTTAAGCAGAGCCTAGACAAGAGTTACATCACCTGGCTGATCAGTGCAGAGATATGTGACAAGGCGCCTTTAAGCAGAGCCTAGACAATAGTTACATCACCTGAGTGATCAGTGCAGAGATCTGTCACAATGCCCTTTTAGGCAGAGCTTAAACAAGAGTTACATCACCTGGGTGATCAGTGCAGAGATATGTCACAATGCCCCCATAGGCAAATCCAAGACAAGAGTCCATCACATGGGTGATCAGTGCAGAAATATGTGACAATGCCCCCAGTAGGCAGAGCTTAGAGAAGATTCCCATCCCCTTGGTGATCAGTGCAGAGATATTTCATAATGCCTTGCAGGCAGAGCGTAAGCAAGAGTTGCATCACCTAGGTGATCAGTGCAGAGATATGTCACAAGGCCCCCTATAGGCAGAGCCTGGACAAGAGTTACATCACCTTGGTGATCAATGCAGTGATATGTCACTATGCCCCGTAGGCAGAGCCTAGTTAATCGTTACATCACCTGGGTGATCAGTGCAGAGATAAGTCACAAAGCCCCCATCCACAGTGCCTAGACAAAGTCCCATCACCTGGGCGATCAGTGTAGAAATATGTCACAATGCCCCCATAGGCAGATCCAACACAAGAGTTACATCACCAAGGTGATCAGTGTAGAGATATGTCACAATGCCCCCATAGGCAGAGCCTAGAAAAAACTCCCATCAGCTGGGTGAACAGTGCAGAGATATGTCACAAAGCCCCTGTAGGCAGAGCCTAGACAAGTGTTACATCACTTTGTTGAGCAGTTCTGAGATGTGTCATGCTAACTGTTTGCTCCCGGAGCTCTGCGGGGACCCGGAAACATGAGGGAAGTGTGGAAGACCGGCATGGTTCCTTCGCTCTCCTTGCCAGTTTCCAAACCGGCCACACTGCAGTCTCCCCATGTTGCTGCACACGGGAATCCATCGTCAGTCCATCACGCTGGGGAGTCATCTTCTCTCTGGGGTCTCGCTCTGGTCTCCAAAGTGGAAATAAATGACAGGCACACGGCTGCGTGTGTCAGACTGTCCTGGCAAAGGCGCCACCCACAGGCACTGCCTCCTTCACGGAGAGAGGGCCTGGAACACTGAAGACTCACGGAAGTTCAGTTCCACACTCCCGGCCACACTCCCAGGCCAGTTTCTCTCTGCTGAAAACGCGTGGGAGCCCAGAGAGCAGCTTCCAGTTCCCGCGGGATTCCTGGAGAGGTCCGGAGATCCAGCCCCCAAAACGCGCCCCCCTCACCCTTTCCCCTTCGCCCCCTTCCTCTTCGTCTATCCAGCCCCACCACCACCATCACCACGCCATCCCCCCACACCCGACCACCCTCCGGCCACAGGCCTCGACGAGCTGGGACCCTTCTGGTGTGGGGCGGGCTGTCCCAGGGCTCACCGCCATTCATGAAGGGGTGGAGCCTGCCTGCCTGCGGGCCTTTAAAAGAGCCCGTGCCCCTGCAGCCTCCCAGCTGCCACCATGGGGCGCCTGGCGGCGGAACGCTGACCTCTAGCTCTCTTTGCTGGCCTCCTGGCTAGACCTGCGCTCATTGCACACCCTGGCTGACGTGTAAGGGAGCCCTCTCGCCTCTCTGTGCCCTTGTCCGTGAAATTCCGGCTGAGGCTCTCCCAACACCTTCTGACACTCTTTAGTCAAAGCCTGGAGAATAGTTACAGAACTGAATGATCAGTTCAGAAATATGTCACAATGCACCCTCCCTGCGGAGCCTAGAGAGGATTTCCATCATTTGGGTGATCAGTGCAGAGATATATCACAATGTCCCCGGTACAAAAAGCCTGGAAATGATTTACATCACCTCGGTGATCAGTGCATAGGTACGTCAGAAATCCACAGTAGGCTGAACCTACACAAGCGGTACATCACTTAGGTGAGCAGTGTAGAGATATGTGAAAATTCCCGTGTATACAGAGCCTAGACAAGTGTTACATCACCTAGTGATCAGTGCAGGGATAAGTCGTAAAGCCTCCTGTAGGCAGAATGTAGTCAAGTGTTTCCTTCCTGGGGTGACCAGTGCAGAGATATGTCATAAAGCCCCTATAAGCAGAACCTTGACAAGGATTACATCACCTGTTTGATCAGCGGAAATGTATATCACAAAGCCACTGTAGGCAAATCCCAGACAATTGTTACATCACCTGGGTGAGCAGTGGAGAGATCTGTCACAATGCCCCTGTAGGCAGAGCTTAGACAAGGGTTACATCACCTGGGTGATCAGTGCAGAGATATGTCAAAACTCTCCTGCAGGCTGAACATAGACAGGAGTTACATCACCTCGGTGATCAGTGCAGAGATATGTGAGAATTC